>NC_000003.12:132341937-132493452 GCF_000001405.40 Homo sapiens
TTGCGACATTCCAAGAAACATACAGAACCTAGCGAAAGATTTGCATTCCATCCAAGTTTTATATGTATAGCCAAAGACCAAGCCCTATTTGTGTTGCATGTTCCAGGATGCTTTGGCCTGAAATATGCTTTCCTTTCTCACCTGGGACATATTTACACATGAGTTATACTTTACCCACTTCTAAAAAGAATCTGAGGCAGTACACTTCAATCCAATTCCAGCACGAACCAGGAACATGTGGCAGTCAGCCAGCATCTATCTACATTTTAAATGTAATAATAAGGAATAATCAATTCGTGTTTGTAAAATTCTTTGGAATGACATTATCGTAACCAATATTACTGGTGCATTTTTCTGTGAAGAACAGCGGTTCTCAACAGGGGCGCATTTGCCTCACAAGGAACATTTGGCAATGTCGGGAGATATTCTGGGTTATACAAGTGGGAGATTAGGAATGCTACTGGCATCTAGTGGGCAGAGGCCAGGATACTGTGAAACATCCTATAATGCACAGGAGAGCTCCCTACAACAAACAATTGTCTGGCCCAAAATATCAATAATGCTGAAGCTGAGAAACCTGTGTAGGAATTTTTCTTTCTCTGTTTGTGTTTCAGGATTTTATAGCTACCTTGGGAAAACTTTCAGGATTACATGGCCAGGACCTTTTTGGAATTTGGAGTAAAGTCTACGACCCTTTATATTGTGAGGTAAAAGAAAAAAAAATCACAGGTTAACTTGCAATCTGATTTTATGATTTATGCTTATTTTGAAATAGATGAATATCTTTTCTTTCACTTCTTTATGAATGTATTACTTATACTTCTTTTGACATTGAAACGTAATTCACAACTTCCTTATATTAACTTGAAAATGCTGACTTCTCTTTTCTCTCTATTATTATTTATGTTTTCACCCTTTAGAAAATTACAAGCAAAATTGCTTTTCTTCTATGAGTTTCCACTTTAGTTTTTTCCCCCCTTGGATTCAGTAGGAGCTTATTTATTTTGCAGCCACTCAAAAATGCTGGGTTCCTGTCCTTGGTCTTAATGAAAAAACAATGTTGTTATAAAGAAAGAGGGGAAAATTACCTGATTTCCGAATGTAGAAATAAACAAGCAAAATATAAGCCAGGCTATTTATATTTGCTTAACAAGAAAGAACTTCTTTCTTGCTTTGCGATGCATTTGAAATACCGTTTGTGGCCAGATAAATTACGATTGCTTTTCAAGGTTACATGGTGTTTCTCACTCACCATGCTCCACCTTCTGGCCAAAAGGAGTACTCTCTGTTCCTGTTTTCCCAACTAGCTCACTAAATATGGGGCAAGATTCTGACCACCCACCTAATTCATATTGACTTCTAACTTTGAGGTCATCGTGAGAGTCTGGGGGGCAGCAATTACTTCCGTAGTTCTATCTTAATAACAGATGACACAGTTTGCCTCCATCCATCCTAAAGTTAATTGACCCAATCACATGCTACTTTCCCAGTATTTTCACTTAATCATCAGCAACTATTTCAGTGAAAATTCATTAGCATTGTAAAAGACTCTTCAGTGAAAACAAGAGCCCCCATTTTTGTTCCAGTCATAATTTTTTTTTCTTCCTTACTACAGTTTGATCTGAGCTATTCCAAAATGTGGTCATGTCATGTGATATTTTTTCCAAATCTCTCTCACTTATTTCCTCTGTAGGTCACTCCACTTTGGTCTCCTCTTTCACGAACTCACTTTCTCTCACTCTTAATCCTGCCTTTGAAACTGGGGGACTCCTAATCAACTCTTCCTAACGGGTAATAAATATTGGCACAAGGTCTCACCTGCCCTGCTTGTACTTAACCATTCATTTAACGCATATTTACCAAGTATCCACTGTGTGCAAGGTGCAGGCTTTCCTCAAGAGTCAGTGAACTACAGCCAGGTATGGTGGCTCCTGCCTGTAATCCCAGCACTTCTGGGAGGCTGAGATGGGAGGATCATTTGAGGCTAGAAGTTCAGGATGAGCCTGGGCAGCATAATGAGGCCCTACCTCTACAAAACACTTTTAAAAATTAGCCACGTGTGGCCAGGTGTAGTGGCTCATGCCTATAATCCCAGCACTTTGGGCTAAGGTGGGCGGATTGCCTGAGCTCAGGAGTTCGAGACCAGCCTGGCCAACATGGCGAAATTTCATCTCTACTAAAAATACAAAAATTAGGCGGGTGTGGTGGCGCATGCCTGTAATCCCAGCTACTCGGGAGGCTGAGGCAAGAGAATCGCTTGAACCCAGGAAGTGGAGGTTGCAGTGAGCTGAAATCGTGCCACTGCACTCCAGGCTGGATGACAGAGCAAGATTCTGTCTCAAAAAAAAAAAAAAAAAAAAGTGCCACGTGTGGTGGCATGCACCTATAGTCCCAACTACTCAGGAGGCTGAGGTAGGAGGATTGCTTGAGTCCTGGAGTTTGAGGTTACAGTGAGCTGTGATGGCCACTGCATTCCAGCCTTGGTGACAGAGCAAGACAATGTCTCTGAAAAAAAAAAAAGAAAAAAAAAGTCAGCAAACTAGACCTTGATGGGGGTAGGGGAGAATATATTACTGAAGGCTCCAGAAATATATTGCCTTTCCTAACTGGCCTCTCAGGCAGCCCATTCAGCTTTTAAGGAAATATCATTTAACTCTGTCAGGTTCATAGAAAGATTTCTAACCCTTTCATAAAGGAATGAGGTATTATTTCCCTACTGCACCCTTACTCTGCAAAATATGAGCCACCCACTGATCCAGAGTTAAACCAAAAGCTATGGACTGGGTAGGAATGGGTAAATTCATTTATATAAGCTTTTCTTCTGAAAGTCAATACCACTACTTATCACAATATGAAGTTCTTTTAGAAAGAAATGGCAGGACAAGAAAGTCTGGCCCTACTAGTTCTTGTGAGGTGAAAAAGGATAAGTCAACAAAGAGGACAGTCATATAAATACACATACATTTTTCTTCCTTTTTCTTTGCTACAGAGTGTTCACAATTTCACTTTACCCTCCTGGGCCACTGAGGACACCATGACTAAGTTGAGAGAATTGTCAGAATTGTCCCTCCTGTCCCTCTATGGAATTCACAAGCAGAAAGAGAAATCTAGGCTCCAAGGGGGTAAGTATTAAAAAATGAGAGGAGCATATTGGATTTGTGGTTGAATGATCCAGGTCTGAGTCATTCCCTCCACTAATCAACTGTGTGATCTCAGACAGTTCACTTAATCACTCTTGCACCAGCTTCCATTCTGCAAAATGGGGATATTAATGATACCTACTTCATAGACAGTGAGTATTAAAATGAATGTATGTATTCAAATGGCTTAGAGCAAACAGTACCTGGTACATAATACACTGTCAATAAATGTCATATGTTAGTATAATCATAACTATTACTCACTCAAGCCCTTAGTTTTCTATCTGGAAAATGAAAGCTAAAGCTAAATGATCCTTTCCATCCCCTCCAGATCAAAAATCAAGGATCTGTGTCTGAGCCACATGAAAATCAATTGTGTCTTGTGGCCTATATGATGAATTTTTCAAGTGGGAGGTATGACAAAAGTGGCCTGTTTTCCTGAAACCCTGAGTGGTAGTCATTGTGAAAGCCGATAAAATATATTTTTCAGGCTAATTGTTATATTTTTCAGACCAATTATGTGCTGTTAAAATATGTTGCAATTGACAAGTTTATAACACAGCTTGAAATTTTTCATTGACATTGAAAGCTGTTGAGATTTATTTATCAGTGATGCCTCTTCTTGGTTAGAACTGGCTCTTCGTAGCACAGGACACCCTGTCATATGAAGGCAGACCCAGGCAAGAGGATGCTGGATTCTTGTAATCAGGATAAGTGGATGGAAGAAAAAAGTCAGGACCAGCAAAGACAAGGACAGATGTTGGGGCTTATGAGAGAAACTGGATGGGCAGGCCAAGATACCAAATGAGGTGTCAGACTTAGATGTGGTTATCATAGGTATTAAAACTAGGGATAAAGAAGAAGAGAAAGTTCATCATGTCAGGTTGACGTAATGAGGAAAGTCCAAGCCACAGGAGATGGTCCAAGTCAGGCTGACACACATATTCAAGGCATTTTGAGATTAATACAATCACATCATGATTCCAGCCATTGACAGACACTATTCACCACAGCATCAGGACAAGTCCATCAAAATCCCAAGAGAATGCATAGAGGCAAAGCATATTAGGGCTGGACCAGACTGGGAGGTTGTTCACTGAGGCTACTTAACTAGGGAAAAAATTCAAATCACTGACCAGAAAAGGAATCAATTATAGCTAGAAAAGCAGGGCTGCACACCAGGTATAAAGAGTGAGGCAAGCTGTAACCAGGGGAATGAGGTATGAAACCAGGATGGTCAGGAGCAAATTCATGTGAGATGAATAAAGTAGGTTGGGGCAAAAAATTTAGGACAGTGGCCATTAACGACATGAGGTTGTTGTAGATCTGCTATTACAAAAATCCTGATTGCATGGCACAGAGACAGACTTGATAGAAATGTGCAAGTCCTTACTTCACATTAAACACATGAGCAACAAGATCCAGCCTTGAGGAAGGGAGAGTCTCCAGAGAGGAGTCTTAGATGGAAGCTGGAGTGTTGGAAAAAATTACCAGGCGGGATACAGACTGTGTCTATGGGCAGAACCCAGGAAGAAGCTCAATCTTAAGTGCTTAACAACAAAAGATGTAGAGGGTGCCTTGGAAGCCACATAAGCACTCAGCCTCATTTCTGGCCCACCAGGTGCCAGCAGTGTGACTCAGTTGCAAGCCCCATCAAATGGTGGAAGCGGGACTCTTGATTTATTTCCCCCAACCTAGTTATGGTGGATTCAGGCACCTAGTCCCTCACAACTCAAAGTGCAGTCTACTTTTCAGCATCGGCATCAACTACCACCTGGCTAGAAACACAGGCCCCACTCCCAAACGAGTTGAATCAGGATCTGCATTTGAATAAAATCCCAACATGCTTTATACCAGACAGGAGTTGACAGTAGTCTAATAGTAGATGTAGGGATGTGTATGTATGAATAAGAAATGGAGTTGCTCCACTTTCCTCATGTTTCCTCTTTTATTTCCCTTGCCTACTAGAAGATTACATTTGGGAGAAGCCACTTCCCCTCTCTGGATCTCTGTTTCACTACCTATGAGGAGATTAAACTAGACTGTCTATAAGAGTCCTTCTCTGAGTTGTTCTCTGATCTTGGATTCTAAAGGCTGGCACTTGTATGAAACCAGCTGTCCTGCTTTCTGGAAAAAGTCCAGCGCCATTGTTAAGCAGGAAAATTTCTCCTGTGTGGTTCTGCCAAAACAAAAGCTCAGACTATTATTCAGATCTGGCTGGGCAAGAGAGATTTGTCAACTACATGTTTATTGAATGATGAAACAGCTGCACACATTCCTGCACAGAAAACACACATTGTCTAGGTGACAAAGAGTAATGTGGACACATCAGGGCCATCTTCTGACCTTTGCTAGTTTTTTTGTTAGTTTGTTTTGTTTTTGTTTCTTTGTATTTTTTGTTTGTTTTTGTGTCTGTTTTTGAGACAGGGTCTCATTCTGTCCTCCAGGCTGGAGTGCAGCAGCATGATCACGGCTCACTGTAGCCTTGACCTCCCAGGCTCAAGCGATCCTCCCACCTCAGACTCCCAAGTAGCTGGGACTACAGTCATGCACCACCATGCCCAGCTAAATTTTTTTTAAATTTTTTGCAAAGACAGGGTCTCCTTATGTTGCCCAGGCTAGTCTTGAACTCCTGGGCTCAAGCGATCCTCCACCTTGGCCTCCCAAAGTTCTGGGATTATAGGCATGAACTACTGTGCCCAGTCTAGAATTTTTATTTCATCATTTAACTTCAGGGGTGACACTGTTCAGTAAGACACACACACATACACACACACACACACACACACACACACCAAAAAAATCCCTGGGGCAAATTTAGGATCATATGGCTGGTCATATCAGTGAAAAGAGAGCTCTTCTTGCTCTAGGCCAGAGGTTGGCAAACTACTGCCTGTATGCCTAATCCAGCCCACTACCTGGTTTTGTAAATAAAGTTTTATTGAAATACAGCCACACTCATTCATTTATGCATTGTCTATTGCTGCTTTCATGCTACCACCGCAGAGCTGAGTAGTTGCAACAGATTTTTTAACCCACAAAGCCTAAGACATTTACTCTCTGGACTTTTACAGAAAAGTTTGCCAACCTCTGCTGTAGACTAGAAATGAAGGAAGCAAAGTTTATGTCTTCAGGTCAATGATATTTTTGTCTAGTTTACGAAGATTTAATAAAGGATACAACAGATAACTTTGAAGCTAGCTTTCCACGATAGCATGTTCTAATGATTACAAATAAAGGTTTTGACACAGGACATGCTAGATTTAAAGCCCTCCTTCTCTGCTTGCAAGTTGTATAATCTAATCAAGTTTCTGAGCCTCTCCAAGCCTCAGTTTCCCCTATAAAACAGAATATTGATATGCCAGAGCCTGAGGATAATCATGATAGTCACCCCTAATCACTCCTGGGATAAGGGTGTAATCATACCAGAACCAAGAACTGATATATTCATGACCAAAACTGCAGCCTGACTAAAAGGCACTTGTTGACAAAGGGCAACTTGCTGATTTCAGGTGGCTGTCATGGCTCCCAAAAGCTTGGCCACAGAGTTTAGCACCAACATGGCATGTGAATCAAGCTAAAGTCCCTAATGCATTCCACAGGGCAACCCTCTCTGAGATGGAGGGATTTAGACCTGTTAGACATGTACATTCAGATTATCCTATTCATCCTCAAGGAATTTCCAGTATCTTATAGAAAGAGCAGATACCTACCTCCTTAATTAACCCTTTTTTATACTTACTGGTGTACAGACCTGTCTCTTCTTACTATTTTATGAGTTTTTGGAGGGCAGGGACCAGGTCTGATTCTCCTAGCACAGTATCTGGCGCATCATAGCTGCTCAGTGTGTGTTTGTTGAGTGGACTACAGAACCTGAGATTATAGTCAATCTGTTAATATCAATGCCCTGCTCATTACAACTCACACACACACACACCCTAACACACCCTACTGGTCATTCTCAGCCAAGAGAGCACATGATGCAGGGTAAAGAGACCAACAGAGACACCAGATAGTTACAGACATCTCTGAAGCAACATGTCCTTAAAACAGGATCTGTTTTGGCACCACAAGGTACCCCACAGCCCTCAGTGCCTAGAAATAGGATAAATACTGTAAGCTCTATATCTGTCTTTCACCACCTCAGGAGCAACAGCAGTTAGGTGTTCAGATGTGAAGTGTGAAGAGCAAAAGTTTCCTCTACTGAAGACAGACAGAAACTCAAATGAAAGCTAAAGATGCTGGCTGTCCCCCCAATAGTGACACCTAGGGTAACCTGGAGAAATGGTCCACAGAGAATAGTCCATGATCTGTACAAACATCCAGAGAGCTGCTTTCTCCCATGGCCTCCCACAGGTCTGACTGCCAGAGAGTAGAAGCAAGAGGGGTGAAAATAGAGGAGTACCTGCTGTGCTGTCATTTCAGGTCTGCTCTGGAGAAGAACATGGGCTAAGAATTATCTTTTATGATCTGAAAAAGCTGTCTGAAGTTCCTTCCAAGCTTATCAGCCTCCTAACCTGAGCTTTAACAAAACCCGGTATGGTAGAGTCCTAGTGTGCCAATCCAGCTTTCCTTACCTGGCTGTGTGAGTCACTTAATATCTTTGGACTTAAGATTCCTTACCTAAAAATGAGGGTTGAGACGTAGGATTCAGTTTAAAAAAAAAAAAGTATGTAAATCACATTACCTAGCACAGAGCAGATGCTCAATAAAATTAGATCTTTGCCCCTCTTCTTAAGTCATGGCAGGGAGAGTCCGCAACTATGAAGTGACAAAAAGCTAATGAACTAAAATAGAAGCTTATGTTTGGTTCAGTTTGGTTATTGATTCATCTTCTTTAAGGTGTCCTGGTCAATGAAATCCTCAATCACATGAAGAGAGCAACTCAGATACCAAGCTACAAAAAACTCATCATGTATTCTGCGGTAAGTATTTTCATCTTCATTTAACATATGTTTGTTCAAGTGTGTGATCTCTTGAAGCACAGGACCTCATCTTTTTTTAATCTTCATTTCCCCATCTCCTTGTACGTGGTAGGCACTTGCACAAAGCTTTTAGAATTAAATGCATCATTCTGTCCTTTAAGGGATTTATAATCTAAACTAACAAGAAGACAAACATAAACACTATACAAAATGGGATGGAAATACCATGCAGGCAAGTGCTATGGCACCTCAGAAAATCTAGCCATCCCTTCTGTTCCAAGAGGGTGGAGAAGAGAAGCAGAAAGGCTTCCTAGACAAGGCAGCACATCCAACACATCAAAATGAAAGGGGTTAGTAAGTGCTCCTCACTAGTGTGTAGGACAAATAAAGTAAATTATTAGGACAGAAGTGGAAGGCCAGGAATGTTGTGTCCAAAAAGTGGTACCAAATTAGTGGATGTTAACTGTGCTGCTCAATATGGAACCTAGTAGCCAGAAGTAGCTACTTACATTTAAATTAATTATGATTAAGTAGAATGAAAAATTAAGTCCCTCGGTTGTATTAGCCACATTTCAGGTGTTCAATAGCCATATATAGCCAGTGGCTACTGAATTGGAGAGCACAGATATACAACATCTCCATCATCATGGAAGGTTTTTTAGATAGCCCTGATATGGAGTGTCAGAAGTTTATGCTGGATGGCAGCTGAAGGGCCATGTTGTCCTGCTGCTTCTTTGTTTAATTGTAGAAAGAAGCAAGGAAGCAAGGGAGAACCCCCCTGTCAGTGTTTGCTCAGGGAAGGCAGGGCAGGAGTGACAGGATAGGAGCAGCATTTTGGAAATTAATTATTTTATAGAATAACTGGATGTTGGGAACAGGATATGGTGTAGAAAGCTTTTGTGATAGTCTAGAAAAATGGGGATATGGCCTAAAATTAGGGCAGCGGCAGGAGAGGAAAAGAAGTGAGCCAGGTTACAAGAAAAGCTGAGTGTGCATTCTCAGTGATGAATTGGAAGTGGGTGGAAGACAATGATGTGGAAGGTGAAGCCCCAGATGAAGTCAAGATTTCAGTTTTCAGTGGCAGGAAGGAGGTGGTCTTGGGCCAGGCAAATGTACTGATTAGGCAATGGGTTTGAAATGCCACAGGGGCATCCCAGCAGAAAACTTCAGATGGCAAAGAGAATAGAAGGAGGAAAGGGAAGAAGGACTGCAACTCAAAGTTGGAGCTACATTTGGGAGTAGAAAGAAAAGAGAGCAAGAGATCTTAGAAAAGGCTTTCATCTTGGAGAAGCCAGGGAGAGAAGAGTCTGAGACGCCAAGGAGAGACACAGTGTTTGGGGAAAATTCTGCAATTGTATTATACATTCAAATAGCTGCCCATGGAGTCTGGGATGAGCAGGGAAACAGGACATAGCATGCTGACTCCTTTCACTCACATCTCCATGACAAAAGGTTTCTCAGCTGTGGCTGGAGAAAGAAAGTCATGTTTTCATTCATGCAAGAAGGTGAAAGAGGTGACTGAAGATGCCAGGAAGTTTGTTTATTATCAGGAGCCCTAAATGGTATAGACTAGGGAAATAGGCCTGGGCAGGAGCAGAGTGCTTCCTGGAGAGAGATAGGCCTGAAATTAGTCATTTCTGCCAATTTTCGTAGTGTCTAATCTGATTTCTAGTTTTAACTTGTGGTGTGACTTCCAGCATGTCATATCCGTAGCTCCTTTTTTTTTTTCTCTATTAGATTACTTCTAACGCCTTTTGAATATGTGCACGCTGCCATACAGTTTAGGCAGCCAAATGTTATCCCAATTTTGCAGATATGGAAGTTGAGGACTGCCTAAGATTAGATAGCTAATCAGTGGCAGAAAGGGGGTTGAAAACCACTCCCCTATACCTTCCAGCCACTCTGGGGTAAACATTTAGCTTTACAATTATTTTAAATTGCATCCTATACTTCCTTGTATTTTATCTTCCCTAAACATTTAAACCTCATATATTCTTCCACAACTTTAAATCACAGATGATGCTAATCTATAGAAAAATATAATCTAGCATTAATGTGTTTCAAAATATTTCAAAAAGGCACAGCACTTAAGGAGGCTTGATTCAAATTTACTTTCTTCCATTTGGGGTTATATGACATTAAGCAAGTTGCTTAATTTCCCTGGGTCTCAATTTCTTCATCTTTTATTATTATTTTTAAAATTATTTTATTTTATCGAGATGGAGTCCCGCTCTGTCACCTTCTGAGTGCAGTGGCACGATCTTGGCTCACTGCAACCTCTGCCTCCCGGGTTCAAGCGATTCTCCTGCCTCAGCCTCCCAAGTAGCTGGATTTACAGGCCCATGCCACCACACCCAGCTTTTTTTTTTTTTTTTAGTAGGGATGGGGTTTCACCATGTTGGTCATGCTGGTCTCGAACTCCTGACCTCAAGTGATCCACCTGCCTCGGGCTCCCAAAGTGCTGGGATTACAGGCATGAGCTACCACGCCCAGCCAATTTCTTCATCTTTTAAATGAAAATAATGATACATATCTAAATCATACTGCCTAGCACACCGCTAATGCTCAACCAAAATCTTTCCTTCTCTACTTATTAAGTCATTGTGGGCGTATGGGAAATTTAATTGAATCAGAAGCCATCATGGTGCTGTACAAGTGCTTCATACCTATTGAATGTGAATCTGAACAGGCGATAAAATTGATTTCAATCTCTGTAGCATGACACTACTGTGAGTGGCCTACAGATGGCGCTAGATGTTTACAACGGACTCCTTCCTCCCTATGCTTCTTGCCACTTGACGGAATTGTACTTTGAGAAGGGGTAAGTGACTAAGTGCTTTTCAAAATCAGTATCACTGGACCTTGGGTTTCATTATTATTATTTTGGGTTAAGGGTTGTGTGCCTGTTTGTCTTTGATTTGGTTTTATATTCAGAGGGAAGAATGGTGGTAACAAGATCTTTGCTAGTCATGTCTCTTTTTTCTTTTTCATGAAGACTTTTACTGGAAAATAATATACACAGTAGATGAAAAAATTGGGAAATAGCCTATGTAACAGAAATTACATTTTTAAAAAAATTAAGGTATTCTAAGAAGTAGGCATGTATTGTATATATACTTGGCAAGAGAAAAATTTCTTGATGGTTATATAATAATATTTTTTCAATTAAAGAATTCAAACATATTCATTCAGCTTCTGATGATTCATATCCACAAGTCAAGATTCTTAAAGTACAATTTCTAACTGGTGTCTACCTCTGTGTGACCTGGTGTGGCCCTCCCCAGATGACCACAGCTTAGCTTGAACCCATTAGAAGGGTCAAAGTTAGCGTAGCCAAATGTCCCAGTTCACCAGAATTGACCCATGAAATCTGGTGTTCTCAGAACATGTGAATTTCATTGTTAAAACCAGAAATGTCCTGGAAAAACTGGGGAAGAATTGATTATCACACCAAGGTCATACCAAAAATATTTATCTGCTGTGACAACGACATTCTCATTGGGAGGAGAAGAAGGAGGTATTTGGAACAAGTCACCAGACTTCATGGGATATTATTAGTGAAATAAGAGCAAGGAAAGGGCTGAGTTAAGGCAGTGACCCCAGAGTTTGTTTTGGGATTAGTCAGGGAGATCTATTTTGCCCTTCCCTCAAGGCATTCACAATAGCTGCACACCAACCTGACTGTGCAGTTACATGGGGACCTGGCTCAAAAGAGCCCATGCTTGTTTTAATGATCTGCTGTGGCCATCTTTAAATTGTAATAATGTTTAAACAATGGGCCCTGTATTTCATCTTGCAAATTTTGTAGTCTTGGATGTAGCTTTCTGGCCCCTGAATTTGTAGAGTAAGAAAGTAACAGCACAGAGACTTCATTCTCAACCAATATCTTCACTGCTTACAAAGAAGTGAGTTCTGCACAGTTAGGGACAGGTAGATACATTCTTTATTGAACCTCTAACTGAGTGTCAGGCACAATGAACTAGAACTAAAATGTGGTCTTAGTTAACCTTGCTCTCAAATATCTAGAGTCAGCATGGAGAGGTAAGACCCACAAAATGGAGACTGGCCAAATAGAACAGAAAATGGGAATGAAACGACTAGAGACATAAAACCCTCTCTTAATAACAAGCCCGGCACAAGTCTGCCCATCAGAAGGCCAGCTCTGGGCACAGAGTTAATAAATCCAACCAAATTCCAGGATCAGCTTCAGGAGCAGGCACCATCTCCTTTGGGATAAGACAAGAGAAGCTACTGACTCTACTCGTACCTCCCTGTTCTCTGGTTTCTGGACCCCAGTGGTCCAGAGCTTGCTTTCTCAGTGCACAGAAGCATTTTCTCCCACTGAATTGCCTTGTTTTACGACCCTGAGTTAAATCTATATTACAAATCAAGTGTGGAGTATTTTTTCAACTGAAAGGCAGTGACATACAGAAAAAATTAACCAAGGGCCACGTAAAGGTCAAGTCCAATTTGTTGTTGTATTAGGATTTTTTTTATTGGCACTCCAGGGAAATATCAAAGGTGAAACGTGATTGCTTTTAAATTAGGATCAAGGAGGCTTCGAGTTAACGAATTCTGTCTAAGCCTGCTTATTAGGTGATCCTGACTGTGAAGTGATCTCACATTTTCTTATGAGAAGATACGGAGAGAGACAGAAAGAGAGAGTATTTTAGATTTTCAACCATCTTAAATACGTAAACTTTTCAGGTTGTAGAAAAGGTAGCTAAAAATATTCTTAAAAGATTTAATTTTGGGTTAGATACAGAGATTTAAAATCATAGACTATATAAAATAATTCATTAAGTTAATATTGCTTTGTTTCACTTTTACATTTTATAAAATGATTTTATCTAAACTCTTTGTACTCATCTTTGGCTTGTGTCTTCACCACTAAAGCCAATTTTGAGTCTTTTAAAATTGTTTCCCAGATATATTCACTAATAAAAGATAATTTTGTCTTCTATATAGATGAACCTCAGATTTTTGAAGTCTTAACCCAATGAAAATTAATTTCACACTTATCTAACAGTACAATGCAGGTGTACATTAATAGATGTGATTCACACGTGGTGATTCAGGCACCCAGGGTTCCCTCTTTGGACCTACGGTTTCAAGAGTGCTGTGCTCACTTGCAGGCAGCTTGTAGAAAGGAATGAAAGGGTGGAGGCAGCAACCCGCTTATCAACCACGTCAGCCTTTTAAAGGGGACACATATCATTTCTGCTCACTTTCTACTGGCTAAATTAGTGACTTGGTCCTACCTAGGTACAACGTAGTCTTGGCAATGTGGTCACTTCTGAGCCATAATTCAATTCTATGGAAAGAGAATAACAGAGTTTGATGGAGTATTGGTCATCTAGGCCATATCATCTTAAGACAGAAGATGCTGTTACTGAAAAAGTTATTCCAAGATATAAGTACCCATTCATAATACATATTAGGGAGGTTTTTGTAAGTTTTATAGACATCTTATTTTATTTTATCTTATTTTATTTTATTTTATTTTATTTTTATTTTATTTTATTTTATTTTTGAGATGGAGTCTCGCTCTGTTGCCCAGGCTAGAGTGTAGTGGCGTGATCTCGGCTAACTGCAACCTCCACCTCCCAGGTTCAAGTGATTCTCCCGCCCCAGCCTCCCAAATAGCTGGGACTATAGGCATGTGCCACCACACCCAGCTAATTTTTGTATTTTTAGTAGAGACGGGGTTTCACCGTGTTAGCCAGGATGGTCTCGATCTCCTGACCTCGTGATCCACCCGCCTCGACCTCCCAAAGTGCTGGGATTACAGGCGTGAGCCACTGCGCCCAGCCTTATAGACATAAGTGAATATTTGCTGTTACTATGTTTATATGGCTTTTTAAAGTGATGTTTTAAAAGGCTTGTTTATAATGACAACCAAAAGTAGCCATTGTAAGGTTACACCAAAAGAAGGATCTCTAAATCCTTCTTGAGTTCCCCTCCTGACTCCTTGATTAGCAAATGGCTTCCATAAGCAACTCACGCTGGTTTAACTCAGGTTAGTTTACACCATTGGACCTTCCCAAATAGTACATTGTTTTTTTGAGATAAAGCATTGAGAGAGCTCTCCTTAACGTGACACAATGGAAGGACTGGAACACATACCCACATCTTTGTTCTGAGGGATAATTTTCTGATAAAGTCTTGCTGTATATTCAAGCACATATGTTATATATTATTCAGTTCCATGTTTATAGCCTAGTTAAGGAGAGGGGAGATACATTCAGAAAGAGGACTGAAAGAAATACTCAAGTAGGAAAACAGAAAAAGAAAAAAAGGAGCAAATGAGAAGCCTAAAAAGAAGGGAGGAGGAGAAGGAAAACCCAACACCCCCACCTGCCTCCCACTTCTTATCCAAAGGCTCAAAGTCCCACCCAGCTCCCTGCAACCATCACTTCTCACCACCTCCTCTGATTTAGCATCCTGGTGCCTACCTCCTATGTCCCTGTTCATCTAACAAACCAGCCCTCCCATTTCCACCCTGCAAATCTCTCCCGCCTGCCCCAGTCTCCCCATTTACACACCTAAATTGGCTAAAATCTCCCCATAAGTTTTTCCATTAGTCCCTCAACTGGCATGTAATAGTCCAAGTGGAAAGAAATTCAGTGGCAGTTCAACAACACAGAACTAACAGAGCTCTCTCCTCTGCCTTTGTCTGCCAGGGAGTACTTTGTGGAGATGTACTATCGGAATGAGACGCAGCACGAGCCGTATCCCCTCATGCTACCTGGCTGCAGCCCCAGCTGTCCTCTGGAGAGGTTTGCTGAGCTGGTTGGCCCTGTGATCCCTCAAGACTGGTCCACGGAGTGTATGACCACAAACAGCCATCAAGGTACTGAAGACAGTACAGATTAGTGTGCACAGAGATCTCTGTAGAAGGAGTAGCTGCCCTTTCTCAGGGCAGATGATGCTTTGAGAACATACTTTGGCCATTACCCCCAGCTTTGAGGAAAATGGGCTTTGGATGATTATTTTATGTTTTAGGGACCCCCAACCTCAGGCAATTCCTACCTCTTCACCTGACCCTGCCCCCACTTGCCATAAAACTTAGCTAAGTTTTGTTTTGTTTTTCAGCGTTAATGTAAAGGGGCAGCAGTGCCAAAATATAATCAGAGATAAAGCTTAGGTCAAAGTTCATAGAGTTCCCATGAACTATATGACTGGCCACACAGGATCTTTTGTATTTAAGGATTCTGAGATTTTGCTTGAGCAGGATTAGATAAGGCTGTTCTTTAAATGTCTGAAATGGAACAGATTTCAAAAAAAAACCCCACAATCTAGGATGGGAACAAGGAAGGAAAGATGTGAATAGGCTGATGGGCAAAAAACCAATTTACCCATCAGTTCCAGCCTTCTCTCAAGGAGAGGCAAAGAAAGGAGATACAGTGGAGACATCTGGAAAGTTTTCTCCACTGGAAAACTGCTACTATCTGTTTTTATATTTCTGTTAAAATATATGAGGCTACAGAACTAAAAATTAAAACCTCTTTGTGTCCCTTGGTCCTGGAACATTTATGTTCCTTTTAAAGAAACAAAAATCAAACTTTACAGAAAGATTTGATGTATGTAATACATATAGCAGCTCTTGAAGTATATATATCATAGCAAATAAGTCATCTGATGAGAACAAGCTATTTGGGCACAACACATCAGGAAAGAGAGCACCACGTGATGGAGTTTCTCTAGAAGCTCCAGTGATAAGAGATGTTGACTCTAAAGTTGATTTAAGGCCAGGCATGGTGGTTTACGCCTATAATCCCAGCATTTTGGGAGTCCGAGGTGGGCAGATCACTTGAGCTCAGGAGGTCAAGATCAGCCTGGGCAACATGGTGAAACCTGGTCTCTACATAAAATACAAAAACTTAGATGGGCATGGTGGTGTGTGCCTATAGTCCCACTACTTGTGGGGCTAAGGCAGGAGGATCACTTGAGCCCCGGAGGTCGAGGCTACAGTGAGCCAAGAGTGCACTACTGTACTCCAGCCAGGGCAAGAGAGCGAGACCCTGTCTCAATAAATAAATAAATAAATAAATAAATAAATAAATAAATAAATAAAAACAAAGTTGATTAAGAAAGGAAGTATAGGCCAGGCACAGTGGCTCACACCTGTAATCCTTGCATTTTGGAAGGCTGAGGCAGGAGGATCACTTTAGGCCTGGTGTGTTCAAGACCAGCCTGGTCAACATAGTGAGACACTGTCTCTACCAAAAAAAGGAAGGAAGGGACACATATCAAACTGAAACAAAATTAGAAATGTAATTATGTTCTAAGTGCCTCCAAGTTCAAAACTTATTGGAATGTTGAGAGTGTGGTTACGAAATACGTTAGGAGGACAAAAGGAATGTGTAAGTCTTTAATGCCGATATCTTCAGAAAACCTAAGCAAACTTACAGGTCCTGCTGAAACTGCCCACTCTGCAAGAAGAAATCATGATATAGCTTTGCCATGTGGCAGATCTACATGTCTAGAGAACACTGTGCTCTATTACCATTATGGATAAAGATGAGATGGTTTCTAGAGATGGTTTCTACTGGCTGCCAGAATCTAGAGCAAAGCCATCCCCGCTCCTGGTTGGTCACAGAATGACTGACAAAGACATCGATTGATATGCTTCTTTGTGTTATTTCCCTCCCAAGTAAATGTTTGTCCTTGGGTCCATTTTCTATGCTTGTAACTGTCTTCTAGCAGTGAGCCAAATGTAAAATAGTGAATAAAGTCATTATTAGGAAGTTCAAAAGCATTGCTTTTATAATGAACTTAGAAAAACGTATGTGTGTGTGTTTAATTAGAATAAAATTCCTCTAGGCAGATTTCAGGAGCTCCCTTTGTGTTTGGGGTTTTTGTTTTAGTATAACAAGATGGAAAATATTAATATAAAGTAAAATGATTTGACTGGCTTAAATGAACATTTTACATTGAAAATATAGTTTGGACTTTACCACTTCAGATAAAGGTGAAGCTGTGGATGGCTCTGCCTCATCTATTTAAGATGGAATTTGCTAAGGAAACACCCTCAGGAAGTGCACAATATACTAGGGAAGTAAAGAGATACATACTGTACAACATGGAAAAACCAGGGCTATGTCTTATGACTACACAGATTACTGTGGGAACAAGAGTTATCCAGATTTGGAGTAGGGGAAGTAAGGAAGGTCAGGAAAGGCTTTCTGCAGAAGGTAGCAACTGTACCACGTAAAATCAGTTTGAGGCCAGGCGAGGTGGCTCAGGCCTGTAATCCCAGCACTTTGGGAGGCCAAGGTGGGCGGATCACAAGGTCAGGAGATTGAGACCATCCTGGCTAACACGGTGAAACCCCATCTCTACTAAAAATACAAAAAGCCGGGCATGGTGGCGGGCACCTGTAGTCCCAGCTACTCGGGAGGCTGAGGCAGGAGAATGGCGTGAACCCGGGAAGCGGAACTTGCAGTGAGCCGAGATCGCGCCACTGCACTCCAGCCTGGGCAACAGAGCGAGACTCTGTCTAAATAAATAAATAAATAAATAAATAAATTTGTTACCTTTTCCCCTGACCCTACTCTTGTCTATCTTGATGAGCAGCAATACCTGGTAACTTAGGAGTTATTTTTTACCCTACCCTCTCCTTCATTCTCCATAGTCTCTCACCTCCTCTTGTAAATCTACCTGTGGTATGTTTGCAGAATTCTTTCCCTCAAAACACAAATAACAATATGCAGGTAGAGTGAAATATGATTAAGCAGCAAAAAATGTTAATAGAAAGAAAAATGTAAGGGTTGATGTGCTGCAGCCCGCTCATACAGATCTCAAGAGTGGAATGTGTCCATCAGTTCCCAACTCTCAGTTCAACCACTTCACCTGGGCAGCTCCAATGTGGCAGGAGTATTTTCACCAAAGAAATTAAATGCTACAAATCCTACCACCACACCACTGGTTTGGGCTCATAGAAAGTTTGTTAAGAGTCTGTGACATGAGGTGGCCTCTAATACAGTGAGTTCAATATTTGAACTTCTGTAAAGAAAAGGATTAGATTTATTCAGTATGATCTTAAAGAGGGATGCTAGGGGCAGCAGGTAAAAATTTCAGGGAGACAGATTTTCGTTCAGTGTTGGGAAACTCCTGAGGTAAGAAGTGCCCATTAGGCTGGGTGGCCACTCACCTTAGAAGAGAGATACTACAGAGAAGGCTGAAACATGGAAGATTGTAGGGGTTGAGTGGCTCATTAGTTTGGCCACCAAATCTAGCAAATAAAAGTACAGGATGCCGAGATAAATTTGACAAAAGGCTGTAACTGCCAAGTTTTTGTAATTCATTGGAAAAAAAAAAAAAAACAATACAGGACACTTAGGATGTTCTGAAAAAGCCGATACAGGAAGCAGGACAAAATCATTAAATATAGGATATGTCCTATATATGCAAGATACTTTGCAACCCTACTCCTTAGAGTAGGGGTTTCCACCCATTAAATTCTATCCATAACTATAAGCAGTGTTTTTAGCTAGTGCCAGTAGGCTCACTTAACCAGATTCCAGATCGTATCAATTAAATTCACCAGAGTCTTTGCTGGAAAATTCACAAGTCTAAGGCCATAGCACATTGCTTGAAAATAATAAAATTTGTCAAACTGCTTCTTTAATTCCAACATTTTACTAACACATTCAGACTTTCTTCACTAGTGCTCTCCCACCCCCATCTCAATGTCCAACTCTAATTATTTCACAAGAAGGAGACTTACTAGTGAGAAGTCCCAGTTTTCTCTCATTATCTTTCTAAAGCTGAGAATCTACAGCACAAATACACATGCCCAAGATTCAACCTTGAGCTTCTTAAAGGCAGGATCCATACATGTTTCCTCTTTGAGTGTTCAGCCAGTAGACAACGCCTAGAACCTTGTGCCTTCAATCAATATTTGCTAACTGAATACATGTCCAGCCCTGCATACCTAGCATGGCTTCCTTGTGGCTGAGCTCAGAAGTCAGAAGCCTGGAACTCAGTTTATTTATAAATAAGAGAGAGAAGCTATGAATGAGCCTCAAAAGTGATTATACTGTAGAGACCCAATCATTGGCCATAAACACATTTCTATGTGCCAACATGTCTGTAGTATTTGACTTCTGTTTTCAGCATAGTTGTTTTGGCATTCTCATGTTCCTCCATTGCTATTAAAAGCCCTTGTTCAATGATATCCCTTGTTCAGTGATATCCCTTGTTCAATGATATCCCTTGTTCAATGATATCCAGCACCGCTCCTCCCTCAAAGATGAGGCCATCTGATTAAAATAACTGTTTCCTCATTCTTGTTGCCATTATCTTCAGTTTCTTGGAATATATCTCACCATTTGCTAAAG
Source organism: Homo sapiens (assembly GCF_000001405.40). NCBI lineage: Eukaryota > Metazoa > Chordata > Mammalia > Primates > Hominidae > Homo > Homo sapiens. The sequence continues at coordinate 132,361,348 of NC_000003.12, forward strand.
ACATTGGCAACTTGCTTTGGTATGCTCCGATTCACTCCTCACTCCACTCCTGCCCTAAACCTAGGCAATTCTGACAGCTATAACGCTGACCTGTCCCATACACTGCTCACCATGCCAATACCTAAGCCTCTAGATCAAGTCAGTCACATGGTTTTTTCATTCTGATCTGTGAGTAGAGCTGAAGCAAGCAAAAGTCCAAGCCTATTGTCACCATTTCAAACGATGAATGTAGACATTTTATTCCATCCTCAACTGAGTCTCTCAGTGTTTCTTGGTAAATGTATTCACCCCTACTGAACACTTTTCCTACTCCCTGCAGGAAGGCCTGTTTGTCCCAAAAGTCTGACTCCATTTTGTTTTCTTTATTCTTATAAGCAAGATAATCTATTGATAAGTCCTTTAAGTTCTACTCTCACAATCTCAAAAATATCTCAGTAGCTTTAACCTTCCTTTGCTGCTGTCCCTCAGGAAACCACATTCCTCCCTGCATGGGCTGACCTCATTGTGAGTGTGAACCCATCTCCGCAGTCTCCTCAGGACCCCAGGGAATCTCTTGGCTAACTTCACTTTCTTCCTCTGCCCTGGCTCCTTCCCTTATACTACGAAAATGCCCAAATATCCTCTCATCAAAACACCATCAAGTGCTTATTCCACCTCACTCTCTTCAATCTCAATTTTCTTGAACTAATGATTCACATGTTCTTGTACTATTTTCTCACATCCATCTTATGCTTTAACTATTCTGTAAAATTATGTCCACCCTTCTGTCATCTCTTTTTTTTTTAACTTCTCTTTTGAAAGCCATCAGTGTCTAATTCAGTGGCCTTTCTTTCATTGTGAAGCAGCTATTAGTATCCCCAATTTACAGAGAAGAAAACTGAACCTCAGAGGATAACATGCCACAAGTAATAGGATCAGGATTCAAGCCTAACACTTTCCAACATCCTATTTCTACCATATCATACTCACTTTTCATTCCACTGTGTCTTGTGGACTACTTTCTTAGACCAATTTCCAAAAATAGGATTGGTGGGTCAAGATAAATGATTATTTAATAAGCAATAGATTTACTGAGTACCTCTTATGTACTCAATATTTTCCTATGTATCAAGCATTAAGCTTGCTGAGTAAACAGCAGCAGACAAGAAGACTGTCCCCATATGGCTTGCAGACCTTATGGAGAGGAGGGGTGGACGAGGAAATGAATAATTAAATCAGCCCTAACAGCAAAGTATGGTGAATTCTGCGATGAAGGGCATAAGGAGAAAACACAGCAGAGGCAATTAGCCTAATGGGTCAGAGAAGGCTTCTTGGAGGAGTGATGTTCAAACTGAAACCTGAAGGAGAAATGGTACTAAGCAGGTGAATGAAGGTGAGGAGAGAGGAGGATGTTACAGACAAAAGAGGAGAATGCATAAAGGCCAAGAGGCCAAAGGCAGCATAGAGCACTTTGGGAACTGGAAAAAGTCTAGTGAATGTGTGGAGAGCTGAGGCTGCAGAGGCAAGCACTAAGTGCTCCATAGGTCAAGTTGAGCTGTTGTGCTCATGGAAAGGTTTTAGGCAGAGGACAGATGCTGTAACTGGCTTCTTGTTTTAGGAAGACCCTTTTCAGTCATTACCTGTACGAGATCTCTTTGTATTAAGATACAATTAATCATGCTCTCTTTTCTCAGTGTCTAGGACAATGCTCTGGCAAACTCCTGAAATATTTTACAGTACAAAGGAGCATATCATTTAAAAATAAATAAATAAATAAATAAATAAATATCACAGGGAGAGAAAGCATACGCGCTCACCTGAGTCTTTTCTTTGTTTTCAGGTTCCTCATTCCACATTCAGTATTAGCCAGTATACCCAGGCCTCTGTCTTCTATGTCTACAATCCTTATTTCTACATCTAACTGTAGAATTCTTGACCTGTTTTGTCAAGCTGCCTACTGATAGTCTCTATCAGGATAATAACCTGTCTCAATCCCACACTGGAGACAAAATAAATTATCTTCTCTACTCCAAACCAATTCTTTTTTGTGGTCCCAATCTCAATTTATCTTCTCAATCACCCAAACAAGAAGCCATGAGATTGCCTTGACCACAGCTCCTCCCTTACCAGTATATGTAGCCTGTTACTAAAGCCTGTTAATTCTACTGCATCTCTTGAATTCCCTCCTCTTCGTTCCCAGGGCCACAATTGCGGTTCTAAGCCCTGAGTGTCATATTAAAGGTATTTTCAATAGTTCTCTATCAAGCCTAATGTATCTCCACCATCCTATCTTTTCCACAGTTTTTGTTTTTCTTAAACACAGAGTGGTTGGCCAGGCACGGTGGCTCATGCCTATAATCACAGCACTTTGGGAGGCCGAGGGGGTGAATCACCTGAGGTCAGGAGTTCGAGACCAGCCTGACCAACAAGGTGAAACCCCATCTCTATTAAAATACAAAAATTGGCCGGGCATGGTGGCAGGCACCTGTAGTCCCAGCCACTCAGGAGGCTGAGACAGGAGAATTGCTTGAACCCGGGAGGCGGAGGTTGCAGTGAACCGAGATCGTGCCACTGCACTCTAGCCTAGGCAATGAAGTGAAACTCCATCTCAAAAAATAAATAAATAAATAAAAATAAAATAAACACAGAGTGGGCTGTATCACTTCCATATGTAATAATTGCTGATGACTTCCATTTGCCCCACGTCAAACCAAGCACTCTAAAAACTGGCCCCTGGCCAGGCACAGTGGCTCATGCCTGTAATCCCAGCACCTTGAGAGTCCGAGGTGGGATAATCGCTTGAGCCCAAGAGTTTAGGACCTGCCTGGGTAACATAGTGAGGCTCTATCTCTACAAAAAATACAAAAAAATTAGCTGAGCATGGTGGCATGCATCTGTGGTCCCAGCTTCCCCCGGGAGGCTGAGGTGGGAGGATCACCCGGGCTTAGGAGGTTGAGGCTGCAGTGAGCAGTGATTGCACCACTGCACTCCAGCCTGAGCAATGCAGTGAGACCCTATCTCAAAAAACAAAAACAAAAACAAAAACAAACTGGCCCCCCATTTACACATGTGGTTTCACCTCCCTGAAGCCTGTATTCCAGTCATGTGTAACTCCTCATTATGTCCTAAACATGCCCTTGTGAAACTCTTTCTGTTTCATGGCAAAGTCTTACTCACCTTGCAGGTCAGCTCAATTCTTAGAAGACTTTCCAAACTCTTTCTCTTTCAAATAGAATACACTCTGCTGACTGCAACTTTCTCTTTGTTTCAATAGCATTTCTTTTGCACCTCCATTTTAGTAGTTATCACAGTATCTTGTAATTACCTTTCTGGTTCTCCTGCTAGACATTGAGCTCCTCGAGGGCAGAGATTATGGAACCTCAGCATCCAGTACAGCCTACCTGGTACATGTGTGCTCACCACATGTCTAGAAAGGAAAGAAGGAAGGATAAAGAGCAGAAAAGCATGTTCCATCAGACTGCTATGACAACACAGCCCATAAAAATAACTGAAAATAAATTTCTAAATACAGAGTCAGCCATGAAAATAGATTTTTAAGGATCACTACTATCTGCCTTCCTCATTTCCACTGAGTCCTTTCTTTCCCTCTTCAATTTCATTTAGTTGCCTTAAACTTATATTAAATCTATCTGCAGTTCTAATGAGACTGTCTCTCAGGGTATAACTTAAAACCACCTTTTCGTGATGCTAAGAAGCATCCTGGCATCATCAGAAAATACTGGACTAAGAGTTGGGAACTTATAAGTTCTAAGTCATTAAGTTTTTTCTACAAACATTTATTAGTACTCGTTATGTGCCAGATACTGTTCTCAGTGCTTGAGATACATTCATGAACAAAAAAGACAAAAGTTCCTGCCTTTGCAAAGCTTGTGTTCTACTAGAGGGAGAGAGGGATAGATAACAAATAATAAGCATAATAAGTGTTTTGGAAGATGAGGATCACAATGGCCAATTTGGGGTGAAGTGAAGGAGGATATACAAGATGCACTTTTAAATGGGAAGGTCTCATGGAGATGAGATTTAGGCAAAGAAAGCAAGGGATGTGTGGGAGAGCATTCAGGCCATGATAACAGGTATAGCAAAGTCACTAAGGCAGGACTGCTTGGCATGTTTGAAGAACAGCATAAGGATTATGAGGCCAGAAGTGAGTGAGTGAAGGGAGGGTGATAGGAGAGGAAATGTGAGGGGACTCATAGGAGACAGATGATGTGGATCCTCATAAACTATCATCATTAGAACTGTAGCTTTTATTCTGATTGAGATGAGCATTCATTGCAGACTTTGTTTTAAGGAGAGAAGTGGCATGATTTGACTTTAAGTCATTTGACTGCTGTGTTAAAAATGGATTGTGGTCCAGGCACGGTGGCTTATGACTGTAATCCCAGCACTTTGGGAGGTGCAGGTGGTGGTGGGTGGATCACCTGAAGTCAGGAGTTCATGGTCAGCCTGGTCAACATGGTGAAACCCTGTCTCTACTAAAAATACAAAAAAAAATTAGCCAGGCATTGTAGCGGGCACCTGTAATCCCAGCTACTGGGAGGCTGAGGCAGGAGAATCCCTTGAACCTGGAAGGCAGAGGTTGCAGTGAGCCGAGATGGTGCCACTGCACTCCAGCTTGGGCAACACAGCAAGACTCCATCTCCCAAAAAAAAAAAAGGATTGTGGCCTTGTGGCCAGGTGTGGTGGCTCACGTCTGTAATCCCAGGACTTTAGGAGGCTGAGGCAGATGGATCATTTGAGCTTAAGAGTTCAAGACCAGCCCGGGCAACATGACAAAACCCCATCTCTACAAATAATACAAAAATTAGCTAGGCATGGAGGTGCATGCCTGTATTCCCAGTTACTAGGGAGGGTGAGGTGAGAGGATCACTTGAGCCTGGGCAGTCGAGGCTGCATGAGCCAAGATCATGCCACTGCACTCCAGCTTGGGTGACAGAGTGAAACTCTGTCTCAAAAAAAAAAAAAAAATTACAAAGGAGAAAGGATAGATAGAAACAAGGGAACAAATAAGAGGCCATTATAGTGATCCTGGCAAAAGACGATGGTGGTTCAAAGCAGGGTGGTGGCAGAGAAGAAAAGAAGTCAGTGTTGGGATATATTTTTCAGTAAGACCAATAGGATTTCCTGATAGTGTAAGCTGTGAGAAAAATAAAGGAGTTAAAGAAGACTCCAAGAGTTTTATCCTAAGCCAACAGAAGAAGGGAGTTTCCATCAACTGAGAAGAGGGAAGGCTCTGGGAAGAGCAAATTTGGTGTGGGGAATGAGGATGGGGAGATCAAGAGTTCAGTTTTGGACTTGAGATTGAAATGCCTATTAGATATCTAAAGAAACATATCAAGTATACAATTGGATAAATGAGTCTTGCGCTTAAGATAGATGTCAGAGCTGGAGATTTATATTTGGAAGTAATTACTGAATAGATGGTTTTTAAAATCATGAGACTGATAAGATCCCAACCCCAATACAATTATCTGCTTAACCATAACCAGATTATCTAATTGCTCTGCTTCTTATTTTCCTCATTCTCTTAATGATAATGTCAGGTGAAATCAGTGATTTTCACCTGTCTTCTATGCTGCACTAGGGTTCTGTAGAAAGAGCTGATGGGATCAGAGGGATGTTTGCTCTCCTATTGCCTAAGCCAACAAGAAACCCTATATTTTTACAATGAAAAGACATACATTTAGAGATGGTACAAACTGGTATTTATGATGTGTATACTATAGTGGACTAGGGTGCGTGTATAGGAGAGTAACTTTCCAGATGAAATAATGAATTAGCATCTCATTACGAAATGGCCCCAAATATCTGCTTTTACTGGTCAGCTATCAAAAGAATATGTGTAAATAAAGGTACATATTAGAAATAGTACACAGTTATGCTAGAAATGTTTGCCATAGAGACAAAATGTGCACAAGATCTCCTCTTCAACAAATATTTACCTAAAAATCAAATTTAAAAATCGAAGGATTTCATTTCTTTTAGATCCAATTGATTGCAGTTGAGCATTCAGAATTTCCTTTGACCCTGAGACCATGGACAATTGGTAATATAACTGTAAAAAATGCATAAAGTTAGTGCTATAAGAGGACTTAGAAATACTTCAGCTAATTACCCTCCCTTTTCAGTGGGGAGCTGAATCTCAAGGGTCAAAGTTTATGCTGGAACTGGAACCTAGGTCATCTCCTGACTCCTAGTCCTGTGCTCTTCTTAGCACACACATAATGCTGATTTCAAGGCCTCTTTAGCAACTCCTCTGAAATTTGCAATTAAGGCAGAAAGCAACACTCACATGTGATCTTCCTATTTTCCTAATGCATTAATTTTACATTAATACTTTTCCTATTTTCCCACAGTTCTAAAGGTCATCTTTGCTGTTGCCTTTTGCCTGATATCTGCTGTCCTAATGGTACTACTGTTTATCCACATTCGCCGTGGACTCTGCTGGCAGAGAGAATCCTATGGGAACATCTGAACAGACAGCTGGATAAGCCAGGCCAACCTCCTGTGACACAGCATCTCTCAGTGGTGCCGCATCTAAAGGACAGGCTTTTGCCATGTGGGCATTGCCATCCTCACACCCTGCCTTTTGAATCTGCCCAGAGCAGGGTCTGAACTCACAGTGACCCACAGGCTGCTGCTGGATGAACACTCAGGCTACCTAGGTCTTCTCATAATGGAGTGGTAGTGCAGGCTGCTTGTTCAGCTAGAAAGAGGCTGTTATGCATAGGATGGTTGTATTCTCTGCCACAGTTGTCCGGAGAGAAATAAGAAGCCAAACTCCAATCAGCCTTTTACCTGCAAAGAGTGAAGGGTGAGAAGGTGGACAAAGACATAGATTAGAAAAATACTGGATATTGGGGGAAGTTAGACTAGAAGTATTATTATACAGGGTGATTCTTACGAAAGAAGACCCAATCATAAATTATAAATAAACTTTTTATTTAGCTATTAAGTAGGTTTAATACACATACATACACACATGCACATGCAAGCACACACACACACAACTGAAAAGAAATTTCTGCCCAGTGTTTGATAGCGGAAAGATTTCTGTTTGTGTGTCTGTATATTAACACACATACATACACATATCCATATTTAAAATGCCTACAGAAGAGGTATTTAATTCTCGAACTGTAATATCACCCACTTTATGTATGACTCAGGTCATCTGTTTACAATTTCTATAGTGGGGATTAACTGGAAAATACACATAGCCACTATCAGATACCTCCACTATCAGATCTGGATATTTTTAAAGTTTCCATTTTTATTGCATTTAAAATTGTAAGATCTTACTTTCGTAAGGGCTAGTCATAGCTCAACTGAGGGTTGACAGCCCACTGTCTCAGCCCTGCACTGGCTTTGGGCTCATGACTTAGAACAAGTTTTTTTTATATCTTTTTTTTTCCAGACACATTGTCTCACTCCGTCACCCAGGCTTGAGTATAGTGGCATGATCATAGCTCACTGCAACCTCTAACTCCTGGACTCAAGCAATCCTCCCACCTCAATCTCCCAAGTAGCTAGGACAACAGGTGCACACCATCACACCCAGCTAATTTTTTTATTTTTTGTAGAGACAGGATCTCGCTATGTTGCTCAGGATGGTCTTGAACTCCTAGCTTCAAGCAATCCTCCTACCTTGGCCTTCCAAAACACTGAGATTACAGGCATGAGCCATCACACCTGGCCTAGTTCTTTTATATCTTTTACCTTGGTCTCCTAACCTAAAAATGAAGAATCTGAATTAGATGAACATAGAAGTCACAGCTAGCTCTCATATACTGTGAATCATTTTTCATTTTATGCTCTAGATGAGTCATTGACCAAGCAAGCACTGTCAAGGATGGTAGTATTGTGGCAAGCTGAAAATTTATGCTAAACAATTTTAATCTGCCCTGAACCCCCAGCCATCCAGTTGGTGGGATATTCAATCTCACTCCTCAGTAGGGTTCTCTACCTCCTCAGGTCCCAGAGAATAGCTGGTGGGAGGAGTTGGAGAAGAGTCCTCTAGACCTCTGTCCATGCTGGTCTCTGTTAAGTTCACCATCCCTGCCCACATGGTCTTCTGACGGTAGGCAGGGGATATCTGTGCCATTGCTCCCAGGACTATATTCTTGGAGTCCACCAGCCTGAGACTGTGCAATCCTGGGGTGATACTTTTGCTCAGCACAGAATCACCCCCACCGCCTCCCAGAACCCGACTCCATCTGTTAGTCTCAGGAATCTTCCTCTCCCCTTGGGTCCCACAGCTTCTACCTGTTAAGTTTCATGCACTTACTTTCTACATAACTCTCACTGAGCCAAGGTTATTGCAAACAAAAGGCTAAGAAGGAGTTGTCTTCTCTTGCTTGGCAATGTCTGCTTCCTGATGGAATACAAAAACCACCTAGGTAAAAACAAAAACAAAAAACACAAGACGTGGCTACCTTCTTAGCTTGGGAAAGGGAAAAATATCTACAGCAGCAAGAATAAAGGACAAATTACTGCCTTGATAAAGTAGCCAGCCATATCAGTACATAAGCCATAATATCTTATGCTAATTCAACAAACATGGATGAGAAAACTATTACTTGCTAATCACTGACCTAGATGCTAAATTGTCCACCCCAATTGTGATTATTAATTGCTTGACTCTGACACCGACCTTATACAGGGTTGGTAGAATGTAAAAGTAAGAGCTTTCACAACACTTTTTCCATATCATCTTTTTTTTTTTTTTTTTTTTTTTTTTTGAGAGAAAGAGTCTTGCTCTGTCGCCCAGGCTGGAGTGCAGTGGCGTGATCTCAGCTCACTGCAACCTCTGGCTCCTGGGTTCAAGCAATTCTCCTGCCTCAGCCTCCTGAATAGCTGGGATCACAGGCCCGTGTCACTATGCCCAGCAAATTTTTGTATTTGTATCACAAGGGTTTGTGATAAAGGATTGATTTATTAATTACTATATTTTGCAAGAATTAACATTATTATCTTTAAAGCAAAATTAGAAATGCCTTTGATCTGGACACTCCCAAGTCTGGGTCTCTTCAGTAAACATTATTAATTTGTTCCTTTAACCATAAACATCTAGAGGCTAGGAATACCAAACTTTCTAGAAACACAGCCCAGCAAGTCCCAGCTTCATTTTGCTAGCCCTCACTCAAAATGGAGTTGCTCTGGTTCACACGTCTCTGACAGCAGGATTAAAAGATAATATGGGCCAGGTGTGGTGGCTTATGCCTGTAATCCCAACACTTTGGAGGCTGAGGTGGGCAGATCACCTGAGGCCAGGAGTTGGAGACCAGGCTGGCCAACATGGTGAAACCTCGTCTCTACTAAAAATACAAAAATTATCCAGGCATGGTGGCGCCCGCCTATAATGCCAGCTACTCAGGAGGTTGAAGCATGAGAATTGCTTGAATCCAGGAGGCAGAGGTTGCAGTGAGCCAAAGCTGTGCGGCTGCACTCCAGCCTGGGTGACAGAGTGAGATTCTGCCTCAAAAAAAAAAAGAAGACTGCAAGTAATCTGTATTCAAAACAAAAATAAATGCAGATAATACAATAATACAGAAGAGTATAAAATGCAAAGTGAAAGGTCTTCCTAACCAGTTTCAATCACTAGTGGCAATCCTGTCAACAATACCTGGTTTTATTTCTTCAAAGGAGAGGCATTAATTTTATAAAACATACTTTTATTTTCTGAAATTTTCACATCTTTCCCTTCTTTTACAACCCATGGTGTCCTCTTTCTTGTATTCTTTTTTTATTTCCCTGAAGCAATTTTTTTAAAAGATGCATGAACAGTAAGCATTCTGATCCTAACATCTAAACATGTCTACAGTGTGCCCTCACACTTACCTATTAGTTGGCTGGGTATATTCAGGTTGAAAATCTTTTTTTTTCTTTTTTTTTTTTATTATACTTTAAGTTTTAGGGTACATGTGCACACTGTGCAGGTTAGTTACATATGTATACATGTGCCATGCTGGTGCGCTGCACCCACTAACTCATCATCTAGCATTAGGTATATCTCCCAATGCTATCCCTCCCCGCTCCCCCCACCCCACAACAGTCCCCAGAGTGTGATATTCCCCTTCCTGTGTCCGTGTGATCTCATTGTTCAATTCCCACCTATGAGTGAGAATATGCGGTGCTTGGTTTTTTGTTCTTGCGATAGCTTACTGAGAATGATGCTTTCTAATTTCATCCCTGTCCCTACAAAGGACATGAACTCATCATTTTTTATGGCTGCATAGTATTCCATGGTGTATATGTGCCACATTTTCTTAATCCAATCTACCATTGTTGGGCATTTGGGTTGGTTCCAAGTCTTTGCTATTGTGAATAATGCCGCAATAAACATACAAGTGCATCTGTCTTTATAGCAGCATGATTTAGAGTTCTTTGGGTATATACCCAGTAATGGGATGGCTGGGTCAAATGGTATTTCTAGTTCTAGATCCCTGAAGAATCACCACACTGACTTCCACAATGGTTGAACTAGCTTACAGTCCCACCAACAGTGTAAAAGTGTTCCTATTTCTCCACATCCTCTCCAGCACCTGTTGTTTCCTGACTTTTTAATGATTGCCATTCTAACTGGTGTGAGATGGTATCTCATTGTGGTTTTGATTTGCATTTCTCTGATGGCCAGTGATGATGAGCATTTTTTCATGTGTTTTTTGGCTGCATAAATGTCTTCTTTTGAAAAGTGTCTGTTCATGTCCTTCACCCACTTTTTGATGGGGTTGTTTGTTTTTTTCTTGTAAAGCTGTTTGAGTTCATTGTAGATTCTGGATATTAGCCCTTTGTCAGATGAGTAGGTTGCGAAAATTTTCTCCCATTTTGTCGGTTGCCTGTTCACTCTGATGGTAGTTTCTTTTGCTGTGCAGAAGCTCTTTAGTTTAATTAGATCCCATTTGTCAATTTTGCCTTTTGTTGCCATTGCTTTTGGTGTTTTAGACATGAAGTCCTTGCCTGTGCCTATGTCCTGAATGGTAATGCCTAGGTTTTCTTCTAGGGTTTTTATGGTTTTAGGTCTAATGTTTAAGTCTTTAATCCATCTTGAATTGATTTTTGTATAAGGTGTAAGGAAGGGATCCAGTTTCAGCTTTCTACATATGGCTAGTCAGTTTTCCCAGCACCATTTATTAAATAGGGAATCCTTTCCCCATTGCTTGTTTTTGTCAGGTTTGTCAAAGATCAGATAGTTGTAGATATGCGGCTTTATTTCTGAGGGCTCTGTTCTGTTCCATTGATCTATATCTCTGTTTTGGTACCAGTACCATGCTGTTTTGGTTACTGTAGCCTTGTAGTATAGTTTGAAGTCAGGTAGTGTGATGCCTCCAGCTTTGTTCTTTTGGCTTAGGATTGACTTGGTGATGCGGGCTCTTTTTTGGTTCCATATGAACTTTAAAGTAGTTTTTTCCAATTCTGTGAAAAAAGGCATTGGTAGCTTGATGGGGATGGCATTGAATCTGTAAATTACCTTGGGCAGTATGGCCTTTTTCACGATATTGATTCTTCCTACCCATGAGCGTGGAATGTTCTTCCATTTGTTTGTATCCTCTTTTATTTCCTTGAGCAGTGGTTTGTAGTTCTCCCTGAAGAGGTCCTTCACATCCCTTGTAAGTTGGATTCCTAGGTATTTTATTCTCTTTGAAGCAATTGTGAATGGGAGTTCACTCATGATTTGGCTCTCTGTTTGTCTGTTGTTGGTGTATAAGAATGCTTGTGATTTTTGTACATTGGTTTTGTATCCTGAGACTTTGCTGAAGTTATTTATCAGCTTAAGGAGATTTTGGGCTGAGACAATGGGGTTTTCTAGATATACAATCATGTCATCTGCAAACAGGGACAATTTGACTTCCTCTTTTCCTAATTGAATACCCTTTATTTCCTTCTCCTACCTAATTGCCCTGGCCAGAACTTCCAACACTATGTTGAATAGGAGTGGTGAGAGAGGACATCCCTGTCTTGTGCCAGTTTTCAAAGGGAATGCTTCCAGTTTTTGCCCATTCAGTATGATATTGGCTGTGGGTTTGTCATAGATAGCTCTTATTACTTTGAAATACTTCCCATCAATACCTAATTTATTGAGAGTTTTTAGCATGAAGGGTTGTTGAATTTTGTCAAAGGCTTTTTCTGCATCTATTGAGATAATCATGTGGTTTTTGTCTTTGGCTCTGTTTATATGCTGGATTACATTTATTGATTTGCGTATATTGAACCAGCCTTGCATCCCAGGGATGAAGCCCACTTGATCATGGTGGATAAGCTTTTTGATGTGCTGCTGGATTCGTTTTGCCAGTATTTTATTGAGGATTTTTGGATCGATGTTCATCAAGGATATTGGTCTAAAATTCTCTTTTTTGGTTGTATCTCTGCCCGGCTTTGGTATCAGAATGATGCTGGCCTCATAAAATGAGTTAGGGAGGACTCCCTCTTTTTCTATTGATTGGAATAGTTTCAGAAGGAATGGTACCAGTTCCTCCTTGTACCTCTGGTAAAATTCGGCTGTGAATCCATCTGGCCTGGACTCTTTTTGGTTGGTAAACAATTGATTATTGCCACAATTTCAGATCCTGTTATTGGTCTATTCAGAGAGTCAACTTCTTCCTGGTTTAGTCTTGGGAGAGTGTATGTGTCAAGGAATTTATCCATTTCTGCTAGATTTTCTAGTTTATTTGCGTAGAGGTGTTTGCAGTATTCTCTGATGGTAGTTTGTATTTCTGTGGGATCGGTGGTGATATCCCCTTTATCATTTTTTATTGTGTCTATTTGATTCTTCTCTCTTTTCTTCTTTATTAGTCTTGCTAGTGGTCTATCAATTTTGTTGATCCTTTCAAAAAACCAGCTCCTGGATTCATTGATTTTTTGAAGGGTTTTTTGTGTCTCTATTTCCTTCAGTTCTGCTCTGATTTTAGTTATTTCTTGCCTTCTGCTAGCTTTTGAATGTGTTTGCTCTTGCTTTTCTAGTTCTTTTAATTGTGATGTTAGGGTGTCAATTTTGGATCTTTCCTGCTTTCTCTTGTGGGCATTTAGTGCTATAAATTTCCCTCTACACACTGCTTTGAATGCATCCCAGAGATTCTGGTATGTTGTGTCTTTGTTCTCGTTGGTTTCAAAGAACAACTTTATTTCTGCCTTTATTTCGTTATGTACCCAGTAGTCATTCAGGAGCAGGTTGTTCAGTTTCCATGTAGTTAAGTGGTTTGGAGTGAGTTTCTTAATCCTGAGGTCTAGTTTGATTGCACTGTGGTCTGAGAGACAGTTTGTTATAATTTCTGTTCTTTTACGTTTGCTTAGGAGTGCTTTACTTCCAACTATGTGGTCAATTTTGGAATAGGTGTGGTGTGGTGCTGAAAAAAATATATATTCTGTTGATTTGGGGTGGAGAGTTCTGTAGATGTCTATTAGGTCCACTTGGTGCAGAGCTGAGTTCAATTCCTGGGTATCCTTGTTGACTTTCTGTCTCGTTGATCTGTCTAATGTTGACAGTGGGGTGTTAAAGTCTCCCATTATTAATGTGTGGGAGTCTAAGTCTCTTTGTAGGTCACTCAGGACTTGCTTTATGAATCTGGGTGCTCCTGTATTGGGTGCATATATATTTAGGATAGTTAGCTCTTGTTGTTGAATTGATCCCTTTACCATTATGTAATGGCCTTCTTGGTCTCTTTTGATCTTTGTTGGTTTAAAGTCTGTTTTATCAGAGACTAGGATTGCAACCCCTGCCTTTTTTTGTTTTCCATTTGCTTGGTAGATCTTCCTCCATCCTTTTATTTTGAGCCTATGTGTGTCTCTGCACGTGAGATGGATTTCCTGAACACAGCACACTGATGGGTCTTGACTCTTTATCCAATTTGCCAGTCTGTGTCTTTTAATTGGAGCATTTAGTCCATTTACATTTAAAGTTAATATTGTTATGTGTGAATCTGATCCTGTCATTATGATGTTAGCTGGTGATTTTGCTCGTTAGTTGATGCAGTTTCTTCCTAGTCTCGATGGTCTTTACATTTTGGCATGATTTTGCAGCGGCTGGTACCGGTTGTTCCTTTCCATGTTTAGCACTTCCTTCAGGAGCTCTTTTAGGGCAGGCCTGGTGGTGACAAAATCTCTCAGCATTTGCTTGTCTGTAAAGTATTTTATTTCTCCTTCACTTATGAAGCTTAGTTTGGCTGGATATGAAATTCTGGGTTGAAAATTCTTTTCTTTAAGAATGTTGAATATTGGCCCCCACTCTCTTCTGGCTTGTAGGGTTTCTGCCGAGAGATCCGCTGTTAGTCTGATGGGCTTCCCTTTGAGGGTAACCCGACCTTTCTCTCTGGCTGCCCTTAACATTTTTTCCTTCATTTCAACTTTGGTGAATCTGACAATTATGTGTCTTGGAGTTGCTCTTCTCGAGGAGTATCTTTGTGGCGTTCTCTGTATTTCCTGAATCTGAATGTTGGCCTGCCTTGCTAGATTGGGGAAGTTCTCCTGGATAATATCCTGCAGAGTGTTTTCCAACTTGGTTCCATTCTCCCCATCACTTGCAGGTACACCAGTCAGACGTAGATTTGGTCTTTTCACATAGTCCCATATTTCTTGGAGTCTTTGCTCATTTCTTTTTATTCTTTTTTCTCTAAACTTCCCTTCTCACTTCATTTCATTCATTTCATCTTCCATTGCTGATACCCTTTCTTCCAGTTGATCGCATCAGCTCCTGAGGCTTCTGCATTCTTCACGTAGTTCTCGAGCCTTGGTTTTCAGCTCCATCAGCTCCTTTAAGCACTTCTCTGTATTGGTTATTCTAGTTATACATTCTTCTAAATTTTTTTCAAAGTTTTCAACTTCTTTGCCTTTGGTCTGAATGTCCTTCCGTAGCTCAGGGTAATTTGATCTTCTGAAGCCTTCTTCTCTCAGCTCGTCAAAGTCATTCTCCATCCAGCTTTGTTCCGTTGCTGGTGAGGAACTGCGTTCCTTTGGAGGAGGAGAGCCGCTCTGCTTTTTAGAGTTTCCAGTTTTTCTGTTCTGTTTTTTCCCCATCTTTGTGGTTTTATCTACTTTTGGTCTTTGATGATGGTGATGTACAGATGGGTTTTTGGTGTGGATGTCCTTTCTGTTTGTTAGTTTTCCTTCTAACAGACAGGACCCTCAGCTGCAGGTCTGTTGGAATACCCTGCCGTGTGAGGTGTCAGTGTGTCCCTGCTGGGGGGTGCCTCCCAGTTAGGCTGCTTGGGGGTCAGGGGTCAGGGACCCACTTGAGGAGGCAGTCTGCCCGTTCTCAGATCTCCAGCTGCGTGCTGGGAGAACCACTGCTCTCTTCAAAGCTGTCAGACAGGGACATTTAAGTCTGCAGAGGTTACTGCTGTCTTTTTGTTTGTCTGTGCCCTGGCCCCAGAGGTGGAGCCTACAGAGGCAGGCAGGCCTCCTTGAGCTGTGGTGGGCTCCACCCAGTTCGAGCTTCCCTGCTGCTTTGTTTACCTAAGCAAGCCTGGGCAATGGCGGGCGCCCCTCCCCCAGCCTCGCTGCCGCCTTGCAGTTTGATCTTAGACTGCTGTGCTAGCAATCAGCGAGACTCCGTGGGCGGGCGTAGGACCCTCCGAGCCAGGTGCGGGTTATAATCTCGTGGTGCGCCGTGTTTTAAGCCTGTCGGAAAAGCGCAGTATTCGGGTGGGAGTGACCCAATTTTCCAGGTGCGTCCGTCACCCCTTTCTTTGACTAGGAAAGGGAACTCCCTGACCCCTTGCGCTTCCCGAGTGAGGCCCTCGCCCTGCTTCGGTTCGCGCACGGTGCGCGCACCCACTGGCCTGCGCCCACTGTCTGGCACTCCCTAGGAGATGAACCCGGTACCTCAGATGGAAATGCAGAAATCACCCGTATTCTGCGTCGCTCACGCTGGGAGCTGTAGACGGGAGCTGTTCCTATTCGGCCATCTTGGCTCCTCCCCCTGAAAATCATTTTCTACCAAAACTTTGAAGGCGGTATTCTGCTGTCTTCCAGCATACAGGATTGCTGATGAGAAGTCTATCAGTCTGATTCTCATTCCAATGTAAGTAATCTGTTTTGCTTTTTCTAATTCTTTTAAGATATTCTCTTTAGCTTAGAGTTCTGAAATTTCACCAGGTTGTGTTTAGGCATGGGTATTTTGGGTTTTTGTTTGTTTTCTGTCTAATTCTGTATGGCTGATATGATTTTTTTCCATCTAAAGACACTTGTCTTTCTCCAACTAAGAAAAATTGTGTTCTGGAACTTGAATTTCTTGGGTCTATCCTCCATGCCTTGAGTTTTCTCTCATATTTTCCACCATTTATTTTATTTCTCTACATTCCAGTAAATTTCGTTTTCCAGAACATCAACTTGGTCGTCAGCAAATCCATTATTCCTGTTTTACTTACGAGTATTCTTTTCTTTGGTATTTACTGACTGTTCTTTTTTTCACCGTAGCTGTTTTTTGTTTGTCTGTTTTCAGAAATGGGGTCTCACTCTGTTGCCCCAGCTGGAGTGCAATGGCAGTATCACAGCTCACTGCAGCCTCAAACTCCTAGGCTCAAGGGATCCTCCTGCCTCAGCCTCCCA
Source organism: Homo sapiens (assembly GCF_000001405.40). Taxonomy (NCBI): domain Eukaryota; kingdom Metazoa; phylum Chordata; class Mammalia; order Primates; family Hominidae; genus Homo; species Homo sapiens. Next base: position 132,377,890 of record NC_000003.12, read on the forward strand.
AACAGCTGAGATTACAGGCACATGCCACCACACCTGGCAGCCTCATTATTTTATCAGTGCAATCTCCTCTTGAAAATCTTTAAGGATACTAATAATTTTTTCAAGTTCTCCTCTGCTCCCTAAATTATCTGTTTTCTCTGGGCTCAGTTTTTTGGGTTTATTAATCTTGGACCTTGTGTTTAATGCTATGGTTTTTTTCTCAAATTCTTGTAAATCATAATCCACAAATGAAGAGCTTGGAGGATTAATAGAGATGGTTAGTGTTGGTTTTCGTTTTAGCCATGTATGTGTTTCCCCAAGAAAAGTTCTTCTTGAATAGCTGCTTTAAAATTCTCACATGCTAATTGCAATATCTTAGTCATTTCAAGACCAGTCTTTGTTGTCCTTTCCTATATGGGTTCTGTTTTTCTGTTTCCTTTTATGTAGACCAATTTTGGATTTTGTCTTAGACATTGGAATAATATATTGTAAAGACTCTGGATGCTATTCTATTATGTTCCTCTAAAAACTTTTTTTTAAAGCAGGCAGTTAAATTGGCTGAAAAACTGTAATGAGCAGTAACTCAAATCTCAGTCCAATTCTTTTAGTCTTCATTTAGGCTGCTTGGAATCTTCCCTGTGTATGGTTAGTTCAAAGTGTGGAGGTCAGCCACAGCATTTGGGCAGAATTTATATGCACAGTATGGGGTTCCCCTTCTTTGGCTTTCAATTTTGGGGAATTTCCTTCTCACTTTTCAGAGGTGATGAATGCCCCCAAACTCTGTCCTCTGGTATTTCAAGCCAGCAAGACGATGGATTTTTTTTTTACCTGGGTTTTTAGCCATCCACCCCCACCCTTTACCCCTGCATGACACAGATGAGCCTGCCCTCAGGCCAAAAGCCTTAAAAAAATAACAATAAACAAAAAAATTAAAAAAACTCACCTAGCGCCATTCCCTTTTTTCAAATGTTGACTCCTTGCCCCTTCTTTCAATTGCTTTCAACTACTTTCAACTAGCTGTATTCTATATTTTGCCCAAAGTGTACAGTTATCTGTGGAAGTGTTAGTCTAAAGGAGGCACAAGACCATTGTCTGAAGTGGATACTCTCACTTGATTGGAAAGAGCAGGTTTGAGGTTCCATATAAGGGCAGGAGTTACAGCAGCAGGTGCCCTGTAGCGTTTGTGAGCAGGGAAGTGGTATGGCAGCTGGGAACATATCAAAAAATAAAAGGAATTTACTCATGGCTGAGGTGAGTGTTTCTGTGTAAATATCTCCTGGGCAGAGTGATTGTAACCTTTTAAAATTTCCCTTCCACGTCTGTGATATGAGTCCCACAATGTCTGCTCTGCTTCCCCTTCAAGGCACAGCAGCCATACTAGGAGGCCTCCCCCTAAAACCGCACCCCCTTTCCACAGAGAGCACTCCTCCAGATTTTATCTTGAAGGAGGCCACCCTGTGTCTATGGAGGAAGGTGGGGGATGACCAGCTGATAGGGAATGCACCCTTTAATGCGTTACCCTGACAAGTATTCCATAGTTCCCTAATGTTGTATGGATGAGCCAAGTTCCTAGCTTCCCTACGGCTCCCTTGGGAAGAACCACATTCATCTCTAGTGACTTCAATTCCTCTGTTTTCACTTCTTCATTGGTTTGATCACATCTGCTTATCTTTGAAGAATTTCTCAAAATATCTGACCTGCTGATGTTCTCTCTAGCACTGTTATGATTTAATTCTTATTTTAACATCTTTTCTATTAATTCAGTAAAAGATTGGGAGAAAGGGAAGTTCAGTACAATAGGTCTTTTTACCCTAAATACGTGTTGTGCCAAACCCCTATTTACTCCAGTGGGGATGGCACCAGATTCAGGTAGAGACCCAGGATCGGCAAATGAGTCATGGAATTTTACTGGGGAAATTACATACAGGGGAGAGAGTTCAGTGGTGTTCGGCTGATCAGGAGAACTGCAACCATTTGCAAAAGGCATGCAGTTATATTTATATAGCATTTTCACTTAACCACCTCCCCCTAACAAGCCTTACCTGGCAAACCTCATTTAACCCAAAACAACAGGCCTTGATCCCCTGTATGGCCCACAATCCACAGGACGGGCTATGGGTTTAGATGTTTCTCATACATAAGGAATGAATCTCCATGTTGGCCACTCCCATATTCCTTAGCTCCAAACTCCAAGCACGCATTCAGGTGGGTCTGCCATACAGGGTCATTCTCAGGATATGCTTAAGTTAAGTTACTGCTATCAGGTACATCTACCATAAAACAGGAAACCTGAACTTGTTTTTCTAGCAAATGGGTCTATACTTGTGTCAAAGTTAAGAACACTAGCCAAGACATTCAGTGAAGGGAAGAAACCAGGCATAACACTATGTAAACAATTTAATTTAATCTCACAAACATGTATTAAGTACCTATTTTTAGCCTTCAGTAGGGTCCATAGTTTCCATCATATTTTTAAAAGGGAATCTTAAGAAAAATGCCATCGTTTGGTACAGGGAGTGCAGCACTGAATCACTTATAGCCTCTGCCCTTATGAGTGTCACAGCTAAGTAATTTAACTGAGGTTTTCGCTTTTCACTAGTTTATATTATTTTTCTTTCAGAGTTTGAGGATTTGGCCCTTCCTTTTAATAGTTACCCCCAAATTTTGCCCCTTAACCCCATATTTCTGGTTTTAAACCACAAGGTCTCCCCTCTTTCCAGTTAACTTTGCACAATATTCTTAAGACTTGTTTCTGGCCATTGTTCAAAAATACACATTGGGCAGATTCAATTTAGGCCCTCTATAATTACTTGTTTATTATCATAACTAATAAAATGGTTGGTGCTAACATAACAGCATTGCTCAGTTTAAAGCCAGAGTATTTTTCTTGTGAAGCCCCAATTTAAATTCATCGGTTACAGAAACTCTCCCAAAAGTATAACTAAAACAGCAATTCTCAAATTTGAGTGTGCATATGAATCTCCTAGGATGTGTGTTCAAGATTCAGATTCCCAGGTCTCAATCCCAGAAATTTTGATTCGGCATGCCTACAGTGGGTCCAGCAATCTGCCTTTTTACTAGGTATTACACATGATTCCATTGCAGGCAGTTCCTGACCTTGCTTTAACAAACCCTGCTTCAAGCTATGCAATAAATCTCCAGCTGCTTCCACAGTGGCTGAACTAAATTACATTCCCACCAATAGTGTATAAGCATTCCATTTTCCTTGCAGCCTCGCCAACATCTGTTATTTTCTGACTTTTTAATAATAGCCATTCTGACTGGTGTGGGAGGGTGTCTCATTATGGTTTTGATTTGCATTTCTCTGAGGATTAGTGAAATAACTAAAAATAGAACTACCATGCAACCCAGCAATCCCATGACTGGGTATACACCCAAAGGAAAAAAGCCATTCTACCAAAAGATACATGCACTCTCATGTTCATCATAGCACTATTCACAATAGGAAAGACATGGAATCTACCTAGTGTTACAGGATCCTTGGGGTGTTGTTTTTCTGGCTGGAAACCTCTGTGGCCAGTGGCACCTTCATCTGAGTTTTGCCTGGGCCCACTGGGCTCATTTTGCCCACTCGGCCTGGCAGGCTGTACTCAGCTCATGCTACCAGCCTGGGTCCCACACCTGTCAAGGGTGAGTCAGACGTGGAACGGTGAGGGCTGTGTGAGCACGCATGGGGTCTGGCCACTGCGCACAATCAGACATGCTGGATGCCGTAGCAGGGCGGGCAGCTCCAGGTGCCGGGACAGATGCTGGCTATCTGTGAGGCTACAGCAGGACCAGAAACACCGCAAGCAGCTTCTATGGCCGGCAATGGGGAACACAGTGGTGCCCAGAAGTTTGGAGACACCAGGAACTGCAGGACTCCCTCTTTGGGAGTCACAGCCCTGGCTCGGGGAACTCCCAGGTCTGGGATCCCCGAAGGGCCACAGCTCTTCTTTCCTTCTCTTTGCCTGCAACGTGGCGAGCAAGGGGCATGTCTCAGCCCTGTTTGTGTTACAGCTCTTTTAGCCTTACTATTCATGAGTCCTGAGACCAGGAAGAATGAGGTATGCAGACAAGTGGAGGGTGAGCAAGATGAAGAGGAGCTTTATTGAGCGATAGAACAGTTCAGGGGAGACTGCAGGGGGCAGCTCCTTTCCACAGGCAGTATGTCCCAGTGAAATGGCTCCATTGTCTGGGGTATGTACCCTGGTTCTTTGTCACAGTCAAGAAAGAATTCAGGACACAGACACACACGGGGAGTGGGCTCAGGAGTGGAAAGTTTAATAGAAAAAGAAGAGAAAGAGAAAAGGCTTCCTCATGCTGAGAAAGCAGGTTGCCCAAGAAAGGTTCTCTGATTTGGGGCGGAATGCAATCGATTTTGTACAGAAGCTTGAGGAAGCAGTGATTGATTTATGTAGGGCTTAGAGGATAGATTTGACCAGGTGTGCCATTTACATAGCCCATGAAAAAACTGACCCTCCCACCCTAGTCTTTTATTATGCAAATAGGGCCTCTACCTGGTGGTGGCCATCATGCCTGTACACGTGGTTTTACCTGGAAGTTGTCATGACACTGGCACACGTGGTGACAAGGAAAAGAGGGTGGGAGATGCCATATCGAATGTATCTGGCTTCCAGGTACAGCTGCCAGCATTTACATATAAAAGCTCCTAATTTGCATATCTATGCCTGACTCTTCAGGCTGCTTTCTGTTAGAGAAGAAACGGTTTGGGGCTGCTTTTTATTAAAGGAAAATTCCACTGAGAACTCTTTTACCCTTTCTAGCTGCCTAAAAACAATTTCTTAATAATTCCTGTGTTACCAATGAGTGTTCAGCTTCTAGGAAAGAGGGTAGCTCCTCTCTGCTAGGCAAGTTGTCCCAACAAGTATTCAGCTATCAGCAGAGGGTAGCTCCTTTCTGCAGCTGGTCACCCCAATGTCTGCTCAGGTCTGGCTGAGCCTGGGGCTTTTATGGGTCTCAGAAGGCAGGAAGTGCATGCTGATTGATCCATAGGTAGCCATGAGCAGGCCTGCAAAAGGTGCCATAAGTTCCCACTCCTGTCCATGGGATTGGCAGCCCAACCCCCAGCCTTCAGGCCCTCCCTAGCCTGAAGGTGGGGCCTCACTGGGGATCCACCCCATTCAGCCCAGGAACCTGTCTGCCTCCTGCTGCCATTCATGGTGCTCAGGCTGTAGCTGTCAAGGGGTGCCCATAGGCCAGTTCTGAGCTGCCCTCAGCACCCCATTGGCTTTCCTCCTATGCTCATCAGAGTCCAAAGTCCAGAGGGGGCCAAAGCAGCAGGGGCTGGCATGTCAGCACTGCTCCAAGTGTTTATACTCCCAGCCGGGCTGCAATAGCGCCCAGGCTTGGCCCCAACTTTGCTCCAAGATAGGAGCAGGTGCTGACAGCAGGGAGAAGCCAGGCAGCAGGAGCAAGCACTTCTGAGCCTGTGAGGATGGTGGGGGCTTCCTGGGCCCCCAGGAATTCAGGATGCCTGGGTCCACAGCTGTGGTTTGGATGGCTGCAGCTGCACAATTAGTGGAGGGGGGCATTCTGCCTGCTCCAGGGAGCAGGAGGCCCAGGTCTGCAGCCACGGTTTGAGCGGCTGTGGCCATGCTCAGGAGAATGGGTCTCCTGCCTCTTGCCTGCTCTGTGGAGCAGGAGGCTCAGTTCCACAGCCACAGCTTGGGTGGCTGCAGCTGTGCCTGGGAAGGTGGGGCCCCTGCCTGCTCACAGGCTGCGAGAGCACAGGGATGCTCAGATCTGCAGCCATGGCTTGGGCGTTTGCAGAGGCACCCAAGGAGCTCTCACCCCAACTCAGAAGGGGCAGGGCTCCCACTTGTCCCCAGCTCCCACCGGCTCCATGGAGCATGCAGCCTCAGCCACACCTTCCTCCTGCAGCTGGCATTATGGCAGCAGCCACTCCAGATGGCCTCCCACTACCATCACTAGGTGTCCATCAGTGGTGAATTGGATAAAGAAAATGCGGTATATATATATACCACAGAATACTATGCAGCCATAAAAAAGAATGAAATCATGTCTTTTGCAGCAACATGGATGCAGCTGGAAGCCATTAGCCTAAGCAAGTTAATGCAGGAACAGAAAACCAAATACCACATATTCTCACTTATAGTGGGAGCTAAGCATTGGATACACATGGACATAAAGATGGGAACAATAGACACTGAAGACTACTAGTTGGCAGTGGGAAAGCAGGGTGAGGGTTGAAAAACTACCTATTGGGTACTATGCTGACTACCTGGGTGATGGGATCATTTGTACCTCAAACCTCAGCATCCCAAACTATATCCATGTAACAAATGGATATAGACAGATATCCCATGAATCTAAATAAAAGTTGAAATTAAAAAAAAAAAACTATGCAATAACCCCTAGGGTGAGTAGAACATGCAGGTTTGTCCACTTAATCAAGATTCTGTGAAGTAACTCAGAGGTCTAAAACTACCTTAATTATGTAGGCATTAGGGTGTGCGTGTGTATGTGTGTGTGTGTTTTAGAAAAAGGAATAGTTAGAATGGCGATCATTAAAAAGTCAGGAAACAACAGGTGCTGGAGAGGATGTGGAGAAATAGGAACAGTTTTACACTGTTGGCAGGACTGTAAACTAGTTCAACCATTGTGGAAGTCAGTGTGGTGATTCCTCAGGGATCTAGAACTAGAAATCCCATTTGACCCAGCCATCCCATTACTGGGTATATACCCAAAGGATTATAAATCATGCTGCTATAAAGACACATGCACATGTATGTTTATTGCGGCACTATTCACAATAGCAAAGACCTGGAACCAACCCAAATGTCCAACAATGATAGACTGGATTAAGAAAATGTGGCACATATACACCATGGAATACTATGCAGCCATAAAAAGGATGAGCTCGTGTCCTTTGTAGGGACATGGATGAAGCTGGAAACCATCATTCTCAGCAAACTATCGCAAGGACAAAAAACCAAACACCGCATGTTCTCACTCACAGGTGGGAACTGAACAATGAGAACACATGGACACAGGAAGGGGAACATCGCACACTGGGGCCTGTTGTGGGGTGGGGGGAGGGAGGAGGGAGAGCATTAGGAGATATACCTAATGTTAAATGACGAGTTAATGGGTGCAGCAGCTCACCAACATGGCATATGTATACATATGTAACTAACCTGCACGTTGTGCACATGTACCCTAAAACTTAAAGTATAATAAAAAAAAAAGAAAAAGGAATAATAGAAGTTGGAAATGAGCTCAGATTTTTAAATGTAATCTTAATAAGTGTCACCTGAAGAGCCAAGGCACTCAAAGAATTAGGCGTGTTTTAAAATGGTGGTTTTGAGAACAAAGAGTGATGGCTACTCAAGAAGATCAACCATTACAATTATTGTTCCCAAAACTCATTTTATTATTAAATGAATAGTAGTATGGTTATTGTGATCATATTTGCCAAGCCCAAGCACGGAAAAATAAACTTTAAAAATCTATAGCAAATATAACAAATAGAAGCTTATGGCATACCATGGAAAATTTAAAGCCAAATTTTAATATGTGACCCTTTGTTGTTATAACATCTAAAGTTACTTGCCATCACCACTTCTCTCCTCCATCCCTCTTACAAAGGCTATACAAAGTAAATCATACTTGAAGTAAAGAAAATGAACGAGGGAAAATAAAACTTCTATACCACTCCTTCAATCTTTAAAAATGGATTTTTGTTTCTTTTTTTTCTTACCTTTTTTTGGTAGTATCTTTTCACATATATGTCTGATCCACCTATAATTAAATTTTAAAATTTTATAAAAGAGGGCTAAGTCTTTTAAATCAACTTTTTACCAAGTACCTTTATGTTAGAAGTAACTATTCTAGTGAAGTGACTAAAGGGGACACATACATAGAAAAGAGAAGAGGATAAACTAGTGGAGCCAAACAGCGTGAGTTCAAATCCCAGCTCTGCCACTTACTAGCCATATGATCCCAGGCAAGTTACTTAACTTCTCTATACTTCAGTTTCCTCATCTATCAAATGTGGATAATAATAGTACTTACCTCAAAAAATTGTGATGGAGGTCAGGAGATCGAGACCATCCTGGCCAACATGGTGAAACCCCGTCTCTACTAAAAATACAAAAAAAATTAGCTGGGCGTGGTGGCAGGTGCCTGTAATCCCAGCTACTTGGGAGGCTGAGGCAGGAGAATTGTTTGAACCCGGGAGTCGGAGGTTGCAGTGAGACAAGATCGCCACTGCACTCCAGCCTGGCGACAGAAGAGACCCCATCTCAAAAAAAAAAAAAAGAAAAAAAAATTGTGATGAAGAATAAAGGAGTTAATACTTAACAAATACCACGTAGGTGTTTGTTAAATGAAATAATGAATGAACAAAGGGAGAAATCTATCATTTCCAGCCAAAAACATCATTATTGTGAATTTTACGAAGTTAAAAGAAGCAAACATGAGACATCATTTTTCATTACCTCTCTGCCTACTCTTAAAAGTGTGGGGTTGTATTAGTCTGTTCTCACACTGCTATGAAGAAATACCTGAGGTTGAATGTGGCCGTGCATGGTCAGCATGCTGCGGTGCAGAGTGGGCCGGGAAAAGCGACACTGACGCTCTGGAACTTCTGCCCAGCGCGCTTTGTAAAATGAATGAAAATAAACCTGGTGACTCACAGAACCTTGAACAAGGTCCATTTTAACCCCTCTTGGACCAGTAATCTGGACCAGGAACATGGGCCACCCCAAGACCACTGCCCAGCTGGGCAGTGGGGAATAGTAGGTGGCTTGTGTTTTCTGTCGAAAAAAGGATGAGTGTCCTAATAAATATGGAGAAAAGAAAACTAAGGAGAAATGGAATCTCACCGTACATTATTATTCTTTGTTGATGTCAAGTGGAATTTGGCAGAGAGGTAAAGAAGGAGTTTGTGGTTTTCTATTAGAAGATACCAGGAAGGAAGTGAATAGAGTTTCTAAACTGAAATGCTGTCTTTGCAAGAAAAATGGTGCTTCAGTTGGATGTGTTGCACCCTAATGTAAACGAAGTTATTTCCCATGTGGACTTCAGAGAGAATGTATTTTCCAGTTTACTGGCAATTTCACATCATTTTGTTGGAACCATCGACCTGTTCAAATAATTACATCTAATAATTATAGAGACTCCTTACCATGCACCATTTGCTCAGAATTTATTGAGCCTATTCTAAGTTATAACATATTACAAAGTGCTTGTTGTAAGAACGCTTGGTTTCATAGAGACTGTTTACAGGTTCAAGCAATAAATGCAGGAGTGTTTTTCTTTAGGTGTACAATATGCAATAATAGTGACATCTTTCAGAAAGAGATGTTGAGAATGGGAATTCATATTCCTGAAAAAGATGCATCCTGAGAATTAGAGGAAAATGCTTATCAAGAGCTTCTGCAGCACTATGAGCATTGTGATGTTCAAAGATGTCATTGCAAAGAAGGGTGAGACTATAATGTACCTGATAGCAAATGGGAAATAAAGCGCTGTCAGTGTTGTGGTTCCAGTGACACACACTTAGCCTGCTCTTCACTACGGTCATGGGAACAAAATTGGGAGTTTTTGGAATGTAGGGGTATTATCTACAGTTCAGGAGTGTTCCAAAAAGCCAAAAACATGTATTATCCAACTCTAATAATGTGGGGATTACAGATTGTTGGAAGAGTCATCACCTAAATTACCCAGACAGTCACCTGTATTCCAGAGTAAAGATCTACTGAGGAAAGGCAGCAAATTTAGAAGGAATGTATCAACACTATTAATGAGTTAGGATTCCAAATTTAAAAAAAAACTACAAGATTATGTATCAACAAAGCCAATATCTGGAATCGTGCCTTAGATGGATTCAGAAATCAAAACTTTAATCCTTCATATGCAATTGAAGTAGCATACGTTATTGAAAATGATAATTTTGGAAGTGGACATCCTGGATCAAAGCAAGAATTTCTGAGTGTCTTAATGCAACATCTTGAGAACTCATCGTTGTTTGAAGGGTCCTTGTCAAAGAACTTATCTCTAAATTCTCAAGCTCTGAAAGGGAATCTTTACTATGAAGCTGGCAAAATGCTTGCCATTTATTTAGTTCATGGTGGTCCTTCACCTGGTTTCTTTTCTAAAACCTTGTTTAACTGCCTTGTTTATGGACCAAAAAATACCCAGCCAATTTTAGATGATGTTTCAGACTTTGTTGTGGCACAGATTATAATCAGGATAAATACTGCAACAACAAAACAATCAGGACAAATTACTGACTTAAAGTCAGTAATAAATGAATGCTATAACTACCCTGAGTTAATTGGATATCTCAGATTTATAACGACATTAAGTGATAAATATATGGTGGTAAAAGACATACTTGTCTACCATGTAATTCAGAGTCTAAGCACCCTTTGAAAGTTTTAAGTAGGGTCTGAAAACCTGGTGTTTTGGAGAAAATTCAGGCTTAACCAGAAGCATTTTGTAGCATCCTGTGTCGTAAACCTGAGAGTCTTTCTGCAAAAATCCTTAGTGATCTTTTTACAGTACACACATTACCTGATGTAAAAGCTTTGGGGTTTTGGAACAGTTACTCATAGGCTGTTGAAGATGGTAAATCTACAACAACAATGGAAGATATTATTATTTTTTTTTTTGAGATGGAGTCTCGCTCTGTCACCCAGGCTGAAGTGCAGTGGCAGGATCTCGGCTCACTGCAAGCTCTGCCTCCCAGGTTCACGCCATTCTCCTGCCTCAGCCTCCCGAGTAGCTGCGACTACAGGTGCCTGCCACCACGCCCGGCTAATTTTTTGTATTTTAGTAGAGACGGGGTTTCACCGTGTTAGCCAGGATGGTCTCGATCTCCTGACCTCGTGATCTGCCTGCCTCGGCCTCCCAAAGTGCTGGGATTACAGGCGTGAGCCACCGTGCCTGGCCAATATTCTTATTTTTGCGACTGGTTGCAGTTCCATTCCTCCAGCTGGATTTAAACCCACTCCTTCAATTGAGTGTTTGCATGTGGATTTTCCTGTTGGAAACAAGTGTGATAACTGTTTAGCAATTCCAATCACCAATACATATAAAGAGTTTCAAGAAAATATGGACTTTACCATAAGAAACACTCTAAGACTAGAAAAGGAAGAAAGTTCTCATTACATTGGACATTAAAATGTTTCCTTGAACAAAGAGAAGCTTCTTTAAAAGCTGCTATTGATAACTGTCTTTTGTTTCCCTAACCTTTTCATCATTACTTTGAACAAACTAGTTAGCTTCTTGGCCTAATAAAATTTATGATATGAACATAAAGGAATTTTACGGCCATTTAGGGTAAGAAAAATTTTTTTTTGTTAAAGCATACTAGTCAAAATAGGTGATAGTTTCTCATTTTCTTGATATACATACTTCATAAACCACAATATAAATACTCTCAAAATGGTTGTATGGATTTTATTTAGGTATGGTAGCATGGTATATAAAAGTAAAACCTGTTTTACCCACAATTTTTGTAAATTAGGATTACATATGGAATGCTACAATTTTTCTAGGTTTATTCAATTTTCAAATTATTCCTCATTTTATTTTAAAGCATTAAATAGAAAAGCTAATTGGTTAAATTTTGTAATGTAAATCAGAGGCATATATTCTGGGGTTTGTGTTACTATGCATGCTTTTCTAGGATGGCACCAAATTAGTTGTTTAAAATGTTTTTAGATTACTGATTTATATTAAGATGACCCACACTGCAGTTAGATTATGCCTAGTGGGAAGTATTATATGAAAAGCAGAATTAAGCTGGGCACAGTGGTATGTGCCTGTAATCCCAGTTATAAGGGAGGCTGAGGTGGGAGAATCGAGATGTTCAGCCAGCCTGGGCAATATAGCAAGACCTCATCTCAGAAAAAAAAAGCAGAATTGCACAAATTTTCTGGAATCTATGGACATTCCATGGGCTTAAACACTTTTGAGGTGGATAACATTTAGTTGAAAATACCTAAGAAAGTGTGTCTTCTTTAAAGCCTTGGCTTCAGTCATGGGAAATTTTTGTTGTTGTTGTTGTTGTTGTTTTTTCTGTATCCTATATTTGGTATTTTGTATGTCTGATCCATAATCATTTTAGGTATTTAAGTGATCTCTGTGGATTCGTAGGTTTGGCCATTTGACCATTATTTATTATCAAGATGGTTGTATGCTAAGGTAAGTTAGCACCATAGCATTACATAGCTATCTTCATTGCTCTTGAATGATATTTGTTATATAAACAATGTATAAAGTAAAAAGGATAGAATGAAAAACCTATTCCAATGTCTCCACTCAGAGATAAGTACTGTGTTTCTATGTATCCTTCTATAAACTCTTTACTTCTGTTTCCTTTATTTTTTAACTTTAATAATGCTACTAAAAGACAATACCTAAAAGTAACTGTATTAACTATGCACTAACAATGTGAAAATATATAGTCCCATAGTCATGTCCCCATATTTATACTCCCATAAAAGAAAAAATTGGAAAACAAAGTCTGATGTCCTTAATCCATTATCAGATTTAAATGATGTAATGGTTCAGTTTTCCAGGAAAGTAAATCATTATGATAGGTAAATCATTATGGGAAGTAAAATGTTTTAACCATATTTTTCTTAATATACAAAGCAGGTGTCAGCTGTTGTCATATTCTCACTCTTCTTAAGAAATATCATTAAATTACTGATAATTTTTTTTTTTTAGATGGAGTCTCGCTCTGTCATGCTGGAGTGTGGTGGCGCAATCTCGGTTCACTGCAAGCTCCGCCTCCTGGGTTCACGCCATTCTCCTGCCTCAGCCTCCCAAGTAGCTGGAACTACAGGCACCCGCCACCACGCCCAGCTAATTTTTTGTATTTTTAGTAGAGACGGGGTTTCACCATGTTAGCCAGGATGGTCTCAATCTCCTGACCTCGTGATCCACCCGCCTTGGCCTCCCAAAGTGCTGGGAGTACAGGCATGAGCCACCGCACCTGGCCAAATTATTGATATTTTTTAAGAAAAGTAACAGAATAGATTTGATAGAGATACTGTTTCTCTTAATACCAAAGGAAAACTAAAATAATAATCCCAGTGTACTTTTCTTTGTTCCCTCATGTTTTTTTCAATCTATACACTAACATACCTAGCAGCAAATTAAAGTTTTACTTCAACTCGAAATATTTAAGAGGCATTAAACAAGGCATTTCTTTGTCTTTGGTTGAATTCTTTTGGATTACCAATAGTAATTGAAGGATCAATTATCAAAGAGTTTGAATAGCTAATGTAAACCGCAAACTCACCATACAGTTTTTATTCCAAATGTGTTGATAAAAAGATACTTTGTTTCTTTATCCACTTTGTTTTTATAACACTTAAAAACCAATACAAATCAAAAAACCTAGTTAAAGCTATTTTCTGGTTTGTAGTTTTAATTAATTTCCCCTAGGGTAGAAATTAAAGCTGATAAGTCACACACACACACTTTGTTGGGGTGGGGGTGGCAGGTGGAGAGCACTGTACTTGGGTTAGCTACAATTAAAAACAGTATTTCAATTCCTCATTTTACTTATTTTATATGTAGACAGGGCCTTAGTGATAAGATGGTATAAATAATTTAGGATATTCGTGTTTTAAAGTGAAGCATAAATATTTTGCAAAATGTTTTCTAGTTTGAAGGATGTTCCATTATTAGGATTTTCAGATTAATCTGTATGGTCAAGGAATACCAGTGAAACCTGTAGGTTATTTATTTTCTGTAGTGTCATTTTGTCAATGGTTGGTATTATAATTGTTCTTTTCTTTCTTTTTTTTCTTTTTCTTTTTATTTTGAGATGGAGCGTCGCTGTGTTGCCAGACTGGAGTGCAGTGGCATGACCTTGGCTCACTGCAACCTCCACCTCCTGGGTTCAAGTGATTCTCCTGCCTCAGCCTCCCGAGTAGCTGGGACTACAGGTGTGCACCACCACATCCAGCTGATTTTTGTATTTTTTTTTTAGTAGAGACGGGGTTTCACCATGTTGGTCAGGATGGTCTCAATCTCTTGACCTTGTGATCTGCCTACCTCAGCCTCCCAAAGTGCTGGGATTACAGGCGTGAGCCACCATGCCTGGCCCCCTCTTTTCTTATTCATTTTATCACCAGTGCATAATTCTTACTGACATTAGATTTTAAAAAAGAATTATGCTGTAAATCTTTATAAATTGTATATATATTTCTTAAATATTGCAATTGTCTAAACGTTGTATATTTTAAGGCTGTTTTCTCTTGCTCTCAATGTTGAGGAAAACTATAAATTGACCTATAATGCATCTACTGCTAATGGTTTTGGTTAGTTTGATATTCATTGTTTTTAAACAGTTTCCAATATGGAAATTTTAACACCTTTTATACAGTTCTCTACTATTCAAGATAAAGATTCTTTAAAATATCTCACCAGAAACTTATAATTTTATACTTTGTAATATTTAGTTTCTATAATTTGAGGAAGGGACTTTTTCATTTGGATTAAGTAAAAAGCCTTTATTTGATTGCCAGCATGAGAATTCACCTTGGTTTCTATTTTATGCATTTGTAAATTTTTTCCCTAATTACATGGAAGCTATTGGAACTTTTGTATTCAATGCTAAATACTAAGTCAAAGGGAGTATAATAGGTAAGTTTTTTCAGTTACTGTGTCTTTAGCATTCAGTCATTATAAGAAAATGATCATAAGAAAATCATTATATTATAAACATGTAATTATTTCATATAATGATTATCATGTACTGCAATGTTACTTTTAAAATAAGCTATTAAACTAGTTTTTATGTTTCAACTAATGCAAAAAAAAATAAAGAAATATCTGAGACTGGCTAATTTATAAAGAAAAGAGGTTTAATTGACTCACAGTCCCACATGGCTGGGGAGGCCTCAGGAAACTTACAACCATGGCAGAATGCACCTCTTCATAGGGTGGTAGGAGAGAGAACGAGAGCTGAGTGAAGGGGGAAACCCCTTACAAAACCATCAGATCTTGTGAGAACTCACTCACTATCATGAGAACAGCATGAGGGGAACCTGCTGTTTGGATGGGGACACAGAGTCAAATCATATCAGGGGTTTTCTTCAATCTTCTTACACACATCTTGAAATGACAACTATTGTTAAAGTGATGGAAATTTCATTTGGTAGAACAACAGGCAGATATGTGATCTTATTAAAACTGTTACTATGATTGAGGATTTCTTTCTAAGGGAATACAACATTCTCAGCATTCTCCCCCAACAAAACAAAAGAAACAGATTTCAAAACAAGGTCAAATGTAATAGAGCGCTTAAAAAATAAAAACCATTAAAATTGTAAAGACAGATTCTACAGGAGAGCCAGATTAAGTTATTACCAATTTAATCTGAAAGTAGATATTGTAGAAAGAAAGAAACAAGGAAAGGGTTTGTTTTACAAAGATTTGTTATCTTATTAATAACAAAATAGAATAATGTCAAACAGAAAAAAATATTGAATGTAGGTGGCAGATATCTTTCCAACTCTCTTTAGTCTCTTGCTACATCTTAACTTCCTTATTATAAAAGTAAATTGCGTCTCCTCTGGGCCCAGTTTCAATGACCTCAATGAAGCTGACATGCAACATCTACAAAATTACACAGGTACATGGATGCCCTTTAGTAACTGGTTGACTTCAAGCAGGTCTGGCCATGAAGTCAGACTATGAAGCAAGTTTCCCAGGATGGAAAAACATGCATTCTCCCTCCCACAAGCCAAAAGAAAATAATGAATGGCCCCTTCTGAAAGGACACAAATCCTGGGTACAGTGGGCTAGAAATTTTTCCAAGTTACTTGAAGTCACTTAGTTTATCTCCTTTCTCCTTCCTACACAGATAATCTTCCTGGCCTCTTGAGAGCACCATTCAGTCCAGGGTATTCTTAATGCACAAAATTACCACTTTTGGTCTTCTGAAAGACTGACAGGGACAGACTGAGATGAGAAAAAAATGTATTTCCTGCTTAGGATGAAGTTCAAGACATTAAACATATATACACATAAAACAATTAGAGAAACCATACATAATGGTACAATCTAACGTTGAATGTTGTGGCACAGGCTTTAAGCATTATAGGATTTCTTCTTCCTGATGGTACAATTCAATTCAACATGCAGTTTTTTTGAATAATGTTTACCACTTGTATACATGAGTGTAACCATGACCACAAGATGAATTTTTTTTTTAAAAAAAGACCCAAACGCAGAACATTTTCAAGAAATTTCAGAACACTTTGGGCATGGAGAGCATTGTGAAAGATTCTAGAGGGGGACCACTATGTCCTACAAAGAAAAAAGAATGTAATTTCTTATTAGAATACCTAGATGCTATAACTTCAACTTTCTGAGAAAAATAATTATGGACCTAACATTCCACACTCAGTAAAAATATCAATCAAGTGAGAAAGTGAGAGGGAAAAATTGAGGTCACTTTCCAGCATGTAAAAATTCATCAAGTTGATTTATCATGCACCCTTTCAAGAAAATTACTTGAAGATGTTCTCCAGCCAGAACAAGAATTAAGTCCAAGAAACGTAAAAACTTGAGATCCCAGAACACTGACTCCAACCCAGGACTTGGGTGGAAAAAAACTCAGGATGACAGCTTGGCATCCAGCCCAGAGAGCAGCTGGTTCAGATTGTAATAAGAAGTCAGATGGTTCTGGGAAATCCGTCTTCAACAATTATATTACATCACTTATCAAAGATGGAATATGTTTAAGGCAGATACATCATCTTAGTGTTTGATGAAGGCATACAATAAAAAATAAAATAAGACACTTTGAAATCATAGGATAGTAAACAATGTTAACACAATCACAATAGAAATACTGTGCATTGATATTTTTGATTTTAGATTCAACCAATGAATAAAGCATGCAAGGATTAATTATGATTACAGAAGAGATGACCAAAGCTAACAAAAGTTGTTAGGATGGGAGAACAGTGCATACAGAAGAGTAGGGAAAGAAGTAGAGGGAAGGATAGGAGTCCTAATTTACTCATCTTACTAATAACAGCTAACATTGGGTACTTAACATTGTGCTCATTCAGAGATAAGCATGAATTAATTCAGCTAATCTCCCAAAATGAGAAAACTGAGGTGTATTAGTCAGGGTTCTCTTAGACGAACAGAACTAACAGGATATATATAAAGGGGAGTTTATTAAGTATTAGTTTACATGATTACAAGGTCCAACAATAGGCTATCTGCAATCTGAGGAGCAAGGAGAGACAGTCTCAAAAAAAAAAAAAACCACAAAAAACTCAGGTGAGCACTCACAGTACCTGGTTTTAACTTCATATCGCTGAAAGAGGCACTGAAGAGATAGAAAAATCAGGCCTGAGTCACTGAGGCCACCCCTCCCCCATCCTGGCAGTGGTAGGGAGTGGTGCAGAGAGCATCTCTGGGAATTTGGAGTGGAAGAACACAGCCACTGGGTGCTGTCCTGTTAGAGCAGAAAGGAAAACCAGACTAAACTCAGCTGACCCCTGCCTATAGAGGGAGCATTTAAACTAGCCCTAGCCAGAGAGGAATCATGGATCCCAGGGGTTTAAACTTGAGTTCCCATAAATTTTGCCACTGGGGGTTATAGTGCTGTCTGTCTCCAAGAAAACTTAAAAGGAAGTCTAGGCCATAAGGACTGCAACACTTAAGCAAGTCCTTGTGCTGAACTAGGCCCAGAGACAGTGGTCTGGGGGCATCATACCAACTGGGGCAGCCAATGGAGTGCTGGAATCACCTTTCCCCTAACCCCAAGCTGCACAGCTTGTGGCTCCCTTCCTTCCACTTGACTAGAGAAGAGGAAATAGTTGGGGAGACTTTATCTTGGGTCTTGGATACCAGCTCAACCACAGCAAGATAGGGCACTGGTTCTGGCCTTAGCTCCCAGATGACATTTCTAGATACACCTTGGGCCAAAAGGGAACCCACAATATTGAAGGAAAGGACCCAGTGCTGGCGGCATTCATCACCTGCTGACGGAAGAGCCCTTGGGCCCCAAATAACCAGCAGCAATACTCAGGTACTACATTGAGTGCCTTGGATGAACCTGTGAGAATTGCTGGCTTAAAAAAGGAAGAGGCGGACATTAAGAAAGTCAAATGAATAGTTGTGAATTTCAAGCTGGGCAAGGAGAAAAGAGGTGGAAAGGATGTGGAGCTGACACAAAGGGGAAGATGGACAGAACAGGCAGATCAGAGGTTTTTATGAGATTAAATGGAGTAAGAGCCAGAAGGACGAAAGGTTTGGTCAGTTACTGGAACTTTAGACTTCGATTTCTAAGATGGTTCAAACTCCCAATTACAAAGTGTAATGCAATGAATGGGTAACTGAATTGTGACAGGTGACAACATGCTAATAGCCCTCGCTCCCTCTCAGCGCCTCCTTGGCCTGGGCGTCTGCTCTGGCCACGCTGGAGGAGCCCTTCAGCCCACCGCTGCGCTGCAGAGGCCCCTCTATGGGGCTGGCCGAGGCCAGAGCCGGCTCCCTCTGCTTGCAGGGAGGTGTGGAGGGAGAGGCGTGGGCAGGAGCCGGGGCTGTGCGAGGCGCTCGCGGACTGGTGCAGGTTCTGGGTGGGCGCCAGCTAGGCAGGCCCCGCACTGGGCGCAGCCGGCCAGCGCCTGCTGGGCTTCATCCAGGGATGAGCTCCCTCTGGGCTGCCAGAGTGCTCCCGCTAGATGCGGCAAAGTCCCGCTGCAAGTGCCAGTGAAAGGTGAAGCCGGCTGGGCTTCTGGCACGGGTGGGTACTTGGAGAACTTTTCCATCTAGCTAAAGGATTGTAAATGCACCAATCAGCACTCTGTGTCTAGCTAAAGGTTTGTAAACGCACCAATCAGCACTCTGTGTCTAGCTAAAGGTTTGTAAATGCACCAATCAGTGCTCTGTGTCTAGCTAACCTGGTGGGGACTTGGAGAACTTTTCTGTCTAGCTAAAGGATTGTAAATGCACCAATCAGCGCTCTGTGTCTAGCTAAAGGTTTGTTAACACACCAATCAGCACTCTGTCAAAACGGACCAATCAGCACTCTGCAAAACGGACCAATCAGCTCTCTGTAAAATGGACCAATCCGTTCTCTGTAAAATGGACCAATCAGCAGGATGTGGGTGGGGCCAAATAGGGGAAGAAAAGCAGGCTACCCGGGCCAGCAGTGGAAACCGGCTTGGGTCTTCTACTATGTGGGAGGTTAGTTGTTTTGCTCTTTGCAATACGTCTTGCTGGTGCTCACTTCTTGGGTCCACACTACCGTTATGAGCTGTAACACTCACTGTGAAGGTCTGCAGCTTCACTCCTGAAGCCAGCGAGACCACAAACCCATCAGAAGGAAGAAACTCTGGACACATCTGAACATCTGAAGGAACAGACTCCGGACACCCTATCTTTAAGAACTGTAACACTCACAGGGTCCACAGCTTCATTCTTGAAGTCAGCGAGACCAAGAACCCACCAATTCTGGACACAATTGGAGTGAAAATAAAGTGATTGGAGGTGAATTCAAGCAATAATAACATCTTGGATGGAACAACTATTAGACCATTAAAAGTCTACAGGGTAATGGTAGCAACTGAGGAGCTTAAAGAACTAAGACCCAACAGCTGACATCATCAGAGAGGTCAGCAGATGACACAGTGAAGGCATTTCTAGCAAGGAAGACTTGTTTGGAGCAGAGTAGAAGTAAGGATCCTGAGCTTTGCAAGGTCATGACATCCAGGATTCAGAGCTGGAATTAAACTTCAAAATTTCAAATTTCTGGTAGTTAACAGATCTACTTACAACATCTATTTCATAAGGGTCTGTGACAATCCAGTTAGATGACATATATAAATAACCTAGTGCAGTGGTAGTTAGTATTATAATTAGTATAATTCACCTTGTTATGAACTCCTGTGAGTAGAGAGGAAACACATGTCGCTAATCACATCCCACATTTTCATTTGGGAGATAGGCTGTTGGAAAACAGACTAAGGGACCCACTGGATCACGCCACCATTCTGTGATTGGTCTGGATTCTAAAACCGGTTCCTTATTCCCAACACTGAATTTAATTCATTCTGAACAAGACAAGTTGCATTTGTTTTAAAAACTCCCTGAATGCATTTAGGTAAAGAGAAATAAATCTGCCTTGAGCTTCACATTGGCAAGAGAACATACCATTTTAAGAAATGAAACAAATAAAAGTGAATCTTTAAGTTTTAGGAAATATAGTATACTGCTATAAGATCGGAATATATAACTCAAAATTGTTTTATTGGTTAGTTTTACCACCTTAATACAAAATGTACTACTAGAAGCTTAAAAAGAGCATGTCTTTTGAATTTTAATGAATTTTAGTGAAATTTAATTACAGATTAAAGTTAGATAAATGGGTTGGTGGAATACAGGTCTAAATATTCATTATGTGTCCATTAATTAAACTGCTTATTATTAAATTAACTTGTTAATTTAATTTTTTGACGAATTACAATTAAAATTTTTTCATTTTGTGAAAGACCTAGTTCATGGTCCCAGCTGTATATGATACAAGTGAATACTAATTCATAGCTGAACAACTATCATTTACTCTTTAAAGCATAAGTGTATATTATTCAATGATGTATCTATGGAAGACTTTTATCTTAGACTCACTCAATAGCTATATTTTTGATGGAATAAGGCAGAGACCTGAGCAAAATTTGGTAACTGTGATTGAGGGAGTGGAGAATTTGGGCTCCTTTTCTTCATGAGCATTTTTTCTTCAACCTCTTGCTTTTCTTCAATGGCTTTTTGAAGGGAAAAGTCATTATTACTAGGAAAATCTCTTTTATATTACTCTTTAATTTTATTTTGAGTAAATTTGTGTGTGTGTATGAGTGTACATTCTCTAAATTTTAACACGTGTAGATTCCTGTTATCTACCACCATAATCAGGATGTAAAACAGTTCCATCACCCCCCAAAATATCCCTTGTGCTATTTCTTTTTGGTCACCACCTCCCCCTGCCCATAACTCCTGACAACCACTAATCTGTTCTCCATCTTTATAATTTTGTCTTTTCGAGGCAGTCATAAAAATAGAATCATGCAGTAGACTTTTCTAAGACCAAACCAAACAGAATCCCTAGGCTAGCAAATGGCTGATGTCACAAAATCATGCAATTTATAAAGATGCCATTTTTGGAAGTTTTACCGCCTTTTCTTACTATACTGCTTGAGTGCACCAGATACTGTTTTTCAATCTAGAAAGTACTAAGAACTCCAAAGACCCCCCACTCCACCCGCTTTCTCTCAACAGTCTTAATCACAGACAATTGTCAGTATCTGTAAGTACTACTTACATGTTAGCTTTCATCCTATAGGGCTGAGTCTGGGATGTTTTAGTCACTAAAACAGTATTTCTCAGAGCAGGGCCTCTCAAATGTCTCGTTACCATGAGGGGGTAACTTCAGTGGTATCAGTATACAGAACCTTCCCACTGTTCCAACATTTGTAAATATCCTTGTTATAGATCTTTTGCATGGTATAATCATTGTGACACAAGAAGCTGGGGCCCATAGTCTTTCCCAAATGTTTCTGAGGTTGCTCAGAGGGTTCAACCACTAGTTTGTGGGTATAGTCTGCCATCTACAGTCCACAGGTGGTCTTTGCATGCTTGCTTTCATGGCAGTTTAAAAATGTGATTTAAATGCAAATAATATGTTTTGGTGTCTTCTGTGAAAGAATGGAATAGTGCATCTGGATTTCTTATCAACAATCTGATGATCTGACTCCCTCCTTCAAAACATTATACCTAGCTAAAACTCTGTCCAAATTCCCTTAATATTGGGCCAGAATTTGGGTATCACTGATCTGAAGAAAAAAATATTGGGGAGTGAGTTATATCAGTCTAATTCTGGGGTAGCTTACATGGTTTGAGGTTCGTATGTTTAGTTTACACACTTCGAGTTTCAATTAAGGTTCCCAGCTGTTGGGGGAAAAAAACACTTTTCCTCATGCAGATTTAAATTCTGTGGTCAGAAATGCAGAAGGAAAGGTAGAACAAAAAGTAGTTCAAGTCTTTGCAATTTTATTTCTCTTTTCCTGAAACCTTCTGCCACCCATTTCTTCACCAGATTCTTTTATTATCAAGATTCAGGCCTCAACTCAAATGTCACCTTCTAGAGAGGCTTTCTCTGACCAAGTGAGTAAAGCGGCTACTCTGTCCTTCTCATCCCCATTACTTTCTAGCCCATTACCCTGATTTTATTTCTTCATATCACTTAGCACTAACTTAAACTGTCTGATTCAGTCATATTTCTATATATTTATTGTCTTTATCTCTTCCCCCTCACCCACTAGAGCAAGGGCCTTTTCTTGTTCACTACTACATCCCCAATACTTAGAACAGAGCCTGACCCATAATAAATGCTTTAAAAACATTGGTTGAAAAAAAATAAATAGATACAATAATTTGGTGACACTAGCCATCTAGTGATTTGGTTTGGTCTGGTTAGAAAAGTCTACAACATCATGAATGCTCACCTCAAGCAACTCCGAACTATGGGGAACTCCTGAAACCATAGCAGTGTACTGGGAAGAGTTTTCTGAGCAGCCCATCCTGGGAGTTTTGGAGAGCACTGTTTTAATTGCTGGAGGAAAATAGCTTTTAAAAGCAAATTTGAGATTGTGATTTGATAAAAAAAAATGTTCATGTAAGATTAAAAAACTTGGACTCTGATCCCTAGATTTAAGGGGAGCTCTAACAATAATTATCCCCAGAGTTCCAGTTTCACGTAAGAAGGAGTAAGCATGCTTCACACCTTTTCTCACACTGAATATAATTACAAACCCTGGACAGAAGGCAAGAACAAGTATTTGAAGACTCTGAAAAGTAAATAACAGCAGCCAAATTTTGTAGTACCATTAATCTAAATCCATACATATCAATCATAACATGAATGTAAATGATCCAAACATACTAATTTAAAAATAGGAATTTTCCCTAAGCTCATCAAGCAGTATACATTTTATATATACAAGTTATATGTAAAAACTTCTTTTATATGTCGGACCTCAAAAAAGTGAGATTTTTTTTTAAAAAAGAAATTGTCAAAATGGATTTTTAAAAACCGTGACTCAACTCTATGCTATTTACAAGAAACACAATTCAAATATAATACACATTGATTAAAAGTATGGGTGTGTGCCTGTAGTCCCAGCTACTCGAGAGCCTGAGGCAGGAGGATCACTTGAGTCCAGGAGTTCGAGGGTGCAGTAGGCTATGATCACACTACTATACTCCAGCTTGGACAACAGGGAGAAATTCCATCTCTTAAAAATAAATAAATAAGACTGAGACACGAGGATCTGGTGTTCCAACCCAGCAGGAAAATGCGGCCTTTGACTGAAGAGGAGACCCATGTCATGTTTGAGAAGATTGTGAAGTACATCAGGGAGAATCTTCAGCTGCTGCTGGACCGGCCTGACCGCACCTACTGTTTCTGGCTGCACAACGACCGGGTGGACTATGTGAGTGAGAAGATTGTGAAGCTGGATGCCAATATCTCCGGGGACAAGCTGGTGTCACTGGGGACCTGCTTCGGAAAAGTCACTAAGACCCACAAGTTTCGGTTCACGTCACAGCCCTGAATTACCTTGCACCTTATGCCGAGTATAAAGTGTGGATAAAGCGTGGTGCAGAGCAGTCCTTCCTCTATGGAAACCATGTGTTGAAATATAGTCTGGGTCGAATCACCGAAAATAGTTCTCAGTACCAGGGGAGTGGTGGTGTACTCCATGGCAGACATCCCTTTGGGTTTTGGGGTGGCAGCAAAATCTACACAAGACTGCAGAAAAGTAGACCCCATGGCGATTGTGGTACTTCATCAAGCAGACATTGGGGAATATGCACAGCATGAAGAGACGTTGACTTAAAACGAAGTCATTGCAAGGACAGCTGTGTGGAAGGGCCGAGTTTTGTTTCCTGTGTTTGTGTAGACTCCACCATCATGTTGAATTTTGTCAACACTATGGCCTCTTCAGGGACATCTTAGTTTACTGTACTCTCTATCACTGACAGATGCAGGCTGGATTCTTATTATATACAGAGATGGCTCAAAAATGGGGTTTCAGATCTTTGTGTTTGTGATGAAACAGAATACTCCGTTTCAAAAAAATTTAAATAAATAAATAAAGGATGGGAAAATACACATATTCTCAGTAGGAAAGCAAACATGTCTTCCATATGAAACAAGTATTACACCATTCATTTGTGTATTCATTCATCAAATATTTATTGAAAATATACTAGGTTCAAGACATGATGCTGAACATTTTTATCTAACTCATAATCTTAAAAGCCATATTTAAGAGTGAATTATGTCAGTCAGGGACCAGATGATAGTACCTGAATCACAGTAGATAGGTAGAAATTGTAAAAATAAATAAAGTAAACAAAAAAACCTATAGTCCAATACTTGAGATAGCTTTTGATCTATAAAGGCAAAATTTCCACATGTGCATCAAGATTGTCAGGCAAATTCATTAAGTGGAAATAAAATGGAGAGAGCAAAATCAGTTGAATAAAAGAAATAATTATATTCTTTATTGAGTTATACATCTTTCTTTTAAATAAGCATGTTTAACAAAATTGAGGTAGCAAATACAGTAATCAGTCCACCACTGTCACATGGAAAATAGTATTACAATTAGAAGAGAAGTTAAGATGAGGTTAGGAATCCTCATTGATAGGGAGTATTATGTGGATCTTCTATTCTGTTTTTGGTTAAATAGATATACTTTTCTTTAAAGTAGGGGTTTTGTTTGTTTGTTTGTTTGTTTTTTCCATTTCTACCCCTCCCAGTCTGATCCAGTTACCATCATCTGGGCTTCTGACTAATGCACTCTTAAATATGTCTTTTAAGATTATGAGTTACTATCTAAAAATGTGAAGAACTTATCATTATACCTTAAACTTAGTAGATTTTCAATAAATATTTGATGAACGAATGCATAAATGACATGATACTTGTTTGATATGAGATACATGTTTGCTTTCCTATTGGGACTTAGAGATTCCAGAAACATTAAGTTGGATATTCCTACAGTCCTAGGAGAATAATGGGAAACTTTCAAAGCACTTAGCATGTGTCAGAGACTATTCTAAGTGCTTCATAAATATTTACTGCTCTAGTCTTAACAAACATTTAAAAGCTATTATTCCTAGCCCTATTTTTAGATGAGGAAACTGAGGCACAAAGGGTTTTAATAACTTGCTTAAATTCTGCTTTCTTAAAGAACTACTAGTAAATGATAGACATGGGATTCAATGTCATGTAGTCTGGTTCCAAAGTTCCCACTCTAAACTGCTACTGAATTTGTATTCCAGTAGGTCTGCAAGTTGAATGTGCATCAGAATCACAATCAATCACATTCAACTTGTTAAAACAGATTTCTGGGCCCTATCCACAGAGACTCTGATTCAGTTGGTCCAGGGTAAATTCTGAGAATTTGCTGATCTAACAAGTTCCCAGGTGATGCTGATTCTTTTGGTCCAAGGTGCAGAAGTATACTTGAGAAGAAATCAAATTGCTACTGTGGACATTTCTTCTGTCTAATCCACTCTGGCTGAAAATAGAGGTTTCTGATCCTGACTGGACAGTACTCAAACTTCATATGCACACTGAGATGTGAGAGCCTAGTACATCTGGCTCTCAAACTAAAGTATGATTCCATATTCTTTCTCCCTACTGTTTGATCTTACAAGGTATTTTCTTTTTTGTGATAACAAAGTCATGCCTAGATTCTGATCGTTACCCCCAAATAAAATGATACTATTGATATGGTTTGGCTGTGTCCCCACCCAAACTCTCATGTTGAATTGTAATACCCATAATCTCCATAATCCCCACATGTCAAGGGAGTGACCAGGTAGAGGTAATTGAATTATGGGGACGGTTTCCTCCATGCTGTTCTCATGATAGTGAGTGAGCTGTCATGAGATCTGATGGTTTTATAAGTGTTTGGTAGCTCCTTCTGTGTTTATTCTCCTTCCTGCTGCCTTGTGAAGAAGGTGCCTTGCTTCCCCTTCACCTTCTGCCATGATTGTAAGTTTCCTGAGGCCAGCCATGCTAAACTGTGAATCAATTAAACCACTTTCCTTTTTAAATTACCCAGTTTTGGGCAGTTCTTTATAGCAGTGTGAAAATGGACTAATACAACTATGAAATGACCACTGAGACTTTCTGTTGATTTATTACTCACCCATTCAATTTTACCTAAGCTATGCAGCAACTAGAAAATGGTAAGATTCTGAAAAATATTTCTTACTGTTTTATTTTGTTCGAGATCAAAAATTTGGGTACTATAGAAAAGCACAGTGAAATTAAGAAACATTTTTTTGTAATGCCACCACAAAATGTTAATTGTGGTAGATTCCAATATAGTGCTTCTCATCAGTTTTTGATTCATGCTTTTTTGTAAAAAAAAAAAAATTAGACAAGTTATATTAAAGGACCTCAGCAAATAGTGTTTGAAAAGACTCACTGGAGATAAGGGTGAGCTTGCCTGAAGCCTCCCTGTGTTAGACTAAGACCCCTTTACAAATTGCGTCATTCAGGATATGACTGCGCCAAGAGGCCTGTTTCCAGAAGACACTGATCAACAAAAGCCCAAGCCTCCTTAATGTGACATTATTAATTTGCTGCTTGTTAGGGAGATAAGAATTATGCTGATCGTAATGAGTTATGCTTTCAGCCATGAAAAACTTCTCCTCTTCTCAGTGCTCAGATTATCTATCATTAGTCTGATCAAAAATTTTGGAGATATGCAGGTTCATACTAAGATGTGTCTAATGCCTGGATTGTTTTATTAATATAGGCACCCGAAGTGGGCTCTTGCTTTGCCTAATTTAGGATCTATAGTGATTAACTTTATCATCAAAATTCCATTTTGTGCAGTGACAAGTAGAAAGTACTGTACAAATTCTTCTGACATGCTGGTCAATATCAGCTTTGAACTATAAACCAGGACACTGCTCATGGCAGCATGAAGGTTACAAAGCAGTGAATCTTTTCCTTTCTAAATAGCCTGCTTTATAAAGAGAATAATTGTACTGAGCAGATAGCAATGTAGAACAGAGTAGGAAGAGAAGAGGGTCATCAGTGTAGGAAGTGAAGGGCTGGGAGGAAGACAATTATCTACTTTACTTTTTTATGTATTTTTATGAATTTTGGTTTTAAACCTTTACTATCAGAGAATTAACCAGTTCTCATTCTGGCTACTTAAGACTTTCTCATGCCAGAAAAGTGTGGAATAGGGAGAAACCCCCTCCTTCTTTTGTTTAGAAATATAAATGTCATATTGGTTTGTTTTCTTTATTCTTTTTATCAGCAGAGCCAGTGTGCTGCTATTGTTTGCTGGCCTAACAAAAATGAAATCAAGGCTTTCACTGAACAGTCTGCCAAATGTTGAATCAACAGCCCAGCTTCTGCAACAGCTTGCTTTAATGACCCTAGACAGCTTCTATTTGAATCATATACTGGGTCACAAGGAGGAAATAGGTATAACAGAAAGCAGGATGGGACAGAAACTAAATTAGAGCTTTAAAGGCTATTTGGGCTGCTGTCAAATCAGTTCCTCAGGGAAGCAGAATTATTTATTAGCTTCCTACTACATGCGTTTTGTAGTTATTTCATGTGCTATGGTAAAAATGGATGTTTTGTAAAAACTCCATCCTTCTAATAAAACAGTATATTCAACTAGTCTAAACAAATCCTTTTATGATCTTCAAAATTTATCTGGGAATTTTGATTTATTGATTCTTAAAACTGTGATGACCCTAACTGACTAGTGCAGTCAGAGTTTTTATGCAAATCAGATAAGCAGCTTCTCTTCAGAGGTTTGTTTGAGTCTCGGGAATTACATGGTTCACTCTGGCCCCTCAACAGGCAGAACTGAAATTTACCACTCACAGTCTGAGTTGCTAGAGACCTGAGTAAGATCTCAGGACTATGAGTTAATGGGAATGATCTGTAATAATGATTGTGGTATTCCTAGCTGGCCACTGGTGAACCAAGCAGAGGCAGTCAGACTTTCTTTTGGACAGCCAACTCACTACCCCATTCCACCTGCTTTGCCGCACTGGATTCACCATTTCCAGGAAACCTTCAGTGGAAGAAATATTCAAGAGCATATCCTGAAGGGAGGGCAACAAGGAATGTTTGGTTCCCCTTCTCAATGAGAACCACTCTAATAACCTAAAATTGTGTAATCGAAATGCCACTGAAGTTAGCAGACTCTTAAGAATGACATTAATTGGGTTGTTGTTGTAATAAATGTTGGCTGAGAGATGGCCTGACTACGTAGAAGGCCTCTTTAACTGTTGATGGCTGAATGCCTTTGGTTATTTTCTATACAAAAGTCTGCTTGAGTAAAGTTGGGTAGGGTGATAAAAGTGAAGCAAAATGAAAAAAAAATTAAAGCTGAAGAGGAAAATAAAGACAAGTATATTAAACATTTTTGGAGATAAAACTAGAAATCCCTTCCCATATTTTGTATAGGTCATCACCACTGCTAACTGCCCAGGTAGTAATAAATCCACCTGTTCCCTTCTTAAAATATTGAGAGAGTGTTCCCATTGTTGAGCTAGGTTTTTCCTTTTCTTAAGACATCTTTTACCAAATGGAAGAGGAAGTATGTGAGTTAAGGGGTAAAGCTAAGGGAAACAAAGGAAAGAGCCAATGGCTTCCAGGACCTGATTTCTTAATCTACCTGCTGTCATGTAGACTTGGACCTTGTGTTCATGTCAACTGGTTATGTAATAAGTTAACTCAAACACTAAGATACAGCCATTTTACTTAAAAAAAAAAACTATGAAAATCCCCTCTTTAATCCACCAACTTCAATGCTACACAGTTTAATTTTAGTTCATTTTAGATTATTTTGCAGTTTTACTTCCCCTTTGTCATTTATTTGCTTTCACTAGAAATAGACTATTTTATTTCCATTTCTTTTACTCCTAATTTAGCCTACAGATGAGCTAGAACTGAGGAAGGCTACAGATGTGGGCAAGTCATATTTTCTGTTATTTAAAATTTTGTACTCCTAGACGCGATGTTTTTGAGGAGATAGTTTATCTGTAGGACAGATTTTAATAAAAAGATAATATAGTATTATAAAAGTATATTTATAAGAATAAAACACAAGTTGTAAGCCATGTTATTCTGAGAAAATGCTCTATGAACCAAGTGTGAAAGAGTTGCACTGTCTTTCCTTCATTTGAAAATCTCTAATATAAGTTTTTAGTAGAATGATAACCAGAAGTGACTCCTGAATGACTAAGGAAAGAGGAAGTCATGGCTACTAGAGCGTACGTACTAAATGAAATGTAGTGATTTGCAGCATGGACTTTGAAATCCAACAGACCTGGTTTGAAAAGCACTACTGCTTTCTAGTGATATGACATGGGGAAAACTCAACAACCTCTCTAAAGTATTGGGTTTGTCATCTGTAAAATGGGGATAATAACAGTGTTTTCCTGTCTGTTATGAAAATAAAATGAGTTGATGCATTAAAGTCCTTAGTAGAGGGCCCAGCACAAAGTAGCTGTTCAATAAATGATATATATGAGATAGGATGATATATGACATATGACATTTCTTTAAAAATTTGCCCCAAATTAACCAGAACTTTGGATTAACTAGGATATCTTTTCCTTGGTTATATGAGATAGTATAGAAAACCTTAATAAGAAATAGTGTATTTTCTTGGAAAGTGTTCAATAAAAAGAATTTTCCACTTTCACTTGTTTCAGAGCTAAGGCACCGTGAAACCATTGTCTATTTGAATTTCTCACTGTGTGTCAAGGACATTTTTGCTAAACCTGGGTTTATGTTTTAGAATCAATTTGGTTGCTGACAGAGATTTAAATTCAAAAATAAATGCTATTTCATTTTCATATTTGGAAACAATCTTAAATTATATGTTTAACATATATAAATACAGAAATATCTTATGGCAAACATAGTTTTCTAATAGTTACATATTGCTATAGTCTGAGTGTTTGCAACCCCCCAAAATTTGTATGTTGAAATACTACCCTGCAAGGTGATAGTATTAGGAGGTTGGGCCTTTGGGAAGATTAATGCCTTTGTAAAAGAGGCCTGAGAGAAATCCCTTACCCCTTCCATGATATGAGGACACTGCTATACACCATCTACCAACCAGAAAGAGAGTTCACACCAAACACCAAATCTGCTAGCACCTTGGACTTCCCAGGCTCCAGAACTGGGAGAAATACATTCTGGGCTTTATTATTATTGTTGTTATTATTATTGAGACAGGGTCTCACTCTGTCACTCAGACTGGAGTGCAGTGGCACAGTCACAGCCCACTGCAGTGTCAATATCCCGGGCTCAAGTGATCCTCCTATCTCAGCTTCCTGAGTAGCTGGAACCACAGGGTTTTGTTTTGTTTTTTTTCCATGCCCAGCTTTTTTTTTTTTTTTTTTTTTGGTAGAGACAGGGTCTCACTATGTTGCCCAGGCTGGTCTCAAATTCCTTGACTCAAGTGATCTACTTGCCTCAGCCTCCCAAAGTGTTGGGATAACAGACATGAGCCACCGCACCCAATCGCCCGCAAATTCTGTTGTTTATAAGTTGTAAGTTTATGGTATTTTGTTATAGCAGCCCAAGTGAACTAACACATGGTTTTCCAGTAATCAATATTTACACACTGACATATAGGTTAAAGAAATACATATTAAAGAAAGTATATGTCTTCTCCGATTATACAGAAAAAAAAGGATAAGAAGGCAATTACATTTAATGATCTGGTATATTTTTAAAGAGTTCCTTAATCCAATCTATTCATATAATTTTTGAAAGACTCTGCTTTCAGATCATAAAGGGGAAGCTGATATAACTAAGCCTATAAATAAGACTACATGTTGGAAAATCCTTAGAGTGGAAATGATAATGAATCTCAGGAAAAATATAACTACAACATTTCTAAATAACTATTAACATATACATTTTTTCTCCAGTGGAAATTCTATTTATCACCTTTGTAATCCCCCTAAGACTATCTGTGACCTCCATATGTACGTATCTTTTCCCCCACCTACTGACAGTAATATAATAACCACTACACAGTTTATGTTCTAGTCATGACATAAAATCTTAAAATTCCCAGAGGAAGGACCAAAAGAAGATTTCAGTCAGTTTATTCCATTTACTCACAGCGTACCATTTGACTTAGAAATAAAAACAGCAGTCAGTGATTGCTCTTAGAGAATGCTGGGCCATGGAACCAACTGGATTTGGGTTCAAATTCTAACTCTGGCACTTACTTGACTTTGAGGCTTTGGACAAATCCCATTAGCTCTCTGAACGTTGGGGAGCATCTTCAACTGTACAGATGGGGTTAGCAACAGGTAGCAACAGGCTGTTCTAACAGAGCAGGGTGCGTGGTAAACTTTCAATGTCCAGCAAAGCCTTCTCTTATAACTCTCCTTTGATCTCTCAGGCCTATCTTCATTTCCTGTTATCATCATAGTTATATAAAGCCTCTTGTTCCATATTTTCACAGATTTTTTTTTAAATCTCTCCAATTCAGAGCTGGTTTTATATCGCTAGAGGTTCTCAATTCTATACTCATGAAATTAGTGAAGGAAACATAACAAAGTTCTAATTTCTCCACTGTGATTATTATTTTGATGCCTTTTATAAAACATTAGTTAGCAAATCCTTTTCAAGTTTATTTCATCTTGATGGTCCTTGCTTTCCTGGTGCCCTAAACGCTTACTTAATACAGTACTACTCCAAATATTGCATTATCTGCTTCTAGAATTACGGAGGAAGAAAACAAAGGGTATATAAGGAAGGGAGAAAGTTAACACTTACGGAGAATGAGTGGTGCTTACTAAATGATCCATAAACGTTATTTTCCTTCTGCCCTTCATTCTTGGTTTTTAAAATCTGGGAAAGTATTAATTCACTCCCTATTATTAAATAAAGAATTGGCACATTTAGACTATCTCCCTCTCCCTTATCCCATTTTTTAGAGTTTATGACTTTTATTTTTCTATTATATACATTTATAATATTAAATAATATTGGTTCATCAATATTAGATAGCATAGCATATCTTGATTCTTATATAATATCAAAACAACTGTTGTTGACATGAATTATTACCTTCATCTCATTGATAAAGAAATTGAGGCTCAAAAGTTAAGTGGCTAATAATGTAGAACTGGGATTTGAACATTTGTAAGGTAGAGAAAAAAATATATCCCCTAGTAAGTAAATACATTGTCAGAAGACAGTTATAAACCAGAAAAAAAATAATACCTTACTTGCTGTAACTAAACCTCTGTTTCTTTCTAGTATAGTATACTATTTTCTTTTTGCTCTACTTTACTTATTATTTAGGTAGTATTTAGAGATTCCAGTTGTGCTGTACTCTGGTGAAGAGATTCAAAGGAATACCAAACAAAATTGCACTTTGTTCTGTGAAGCTCATTAATGTGGCTATTTTTATTGGTAGCCTCTTACTATATTGTGCTGAAATAGTAATACTCTATTAATTTCTTTTTATTTGCATGAATAACACAGTGACACTCAATAGCCCAGCCCTTAAAAAATGTAACATCATTGAGTAATGAATTCAGAAATGAAGCAGATGCCCACAGACAAGCAGCTCTAGCCATCACAACTATGCTCTGGGCACAAAAAAAACGTAAAGGGTGGGGGAAAAAGGACACCTACTAGCTGAATCTGATAGCCCACACCAACAATATCTGCTTATGTTTCATCGGCCAGACTTATGTCATCTCTGATATGGTCAGCCGATCTGAGAGGAGGTTGACGATGTAGTACTTGTAGGTGGCACATTGCCACCTTCAACTTGTAGGGAAGAAGAGGAAAATGATATTGGGTAGGCAATAGTATTTACTCTGGAAATATACAGGGTTTCTAAAACTTAACATGTTCAAACCATACTTTTTTTAAAATTTTACTTTAAGTTCTGGGATACATGCGCTGATGGTTATAGACTTTTTTTAAAAAAACCTTTTTTAAACAAAATTTTAGTTTAAGTTCTGGGATACATGTGCTGAACGTGCAGGTTTGTTGCATAGGTATACATGTGCCATGGTGATTTGCTGCACCTATCAACCTGTCATCTAAGTTTTAAGCTCCGCATGTATTAGGTATTTGTCCTAATGCTCTCTCTCTCCTTTCCCCCGACCCCACAACAGGCCCCAGTGGGTGATGTTCCCCTCCGTGTCTATGTGTTCTCATTTTTCAACTCACACTTATGAGTGTGAACATGCGGTGTTTGGTTTTCTGTTCCTGTGTTAGTTTTCTGAGGATGATGGTTTCCAGCTTCATCCATGTCCCTGCAAAGGACATGAACTCATTCTTTGTTGTGGCTGCATAGTATTCCATGGTATATATGTGCCACATTTTCTTTATCCAGTCTATCATTGATGGGCATTTGGGTTGGTTCCAGGTCTTTCCTATTGTAAATAGTGCTGCAATAAACATATGTGAGCATGTGTCTCTATAGTAGTATGATGTATAATCCTTCAACTCTCAAAGTTTGTCTGACAGGCAGATTAGGAATAGACCCAAAGTAACTTTAACATTTGCAGTGACTAGTATATGTGAGTTTCTTCTATATTAGTAAGATTTTTTTCAAATTGGCTTTGTTAGTATGTGCTTTTTATTTTGGTTTACATTGATTTACTTTTTTTTTTCTCAGACTTCACTGTATAGATTTGAGAACCAATAACTTTACAAGCTAATTAGTTGAGCTTGAAATACTACTTCTTTTATGTTTTATTTTCCTTTACGCTAAGTAGGTGGCTGCCACCTCATTTACTGTTGCTCACAAAAAGAAAAAAAAATCATCTTTTCATTGACAAAATTAAGTTTTACATGGAAATAACAGTCATATCATCTTTATATGCTCAAAGCCAGCAATAATTTGGGTAATGAAGTTTTATGTTCTCAGATAGGCATAATATGAATAAGTTATTATCCAAGATTAATGAATAGATATCCTTTCCTTCTATGTGGTTGCAATGATCTTTAACAAAATTAGTGGGAAAAAAAAGCTTTTGTTGCACCTGATTAACTCACCTTGATTTAGGCGTGAATGAGTCATTGTCATTCTAAGAACTTCCTCATGGTCAAGTTTTGGATCACCATTTTTAAAATATATTGTGACTGTCGAAATTCCATGCATGTAAGACTTTTTTGCATTGTTAACATTCACAGATGAATTGAACAAGTCAACTCTGTGTTCTCCATAATAAATAAAATGAACTATTTAATGATGTCTCATGATAGGAGTATTCAAATATGGTTGTCAAGAATGAACACTTGAACTTTCCCCATTCTGCTAATAATACAGAATATCTGCTTATCTGACATTCTGTATTATTAGCATCTGGTTAGTCCTCTGATGATAACTACAGCAAACCTGTTTCATTTAAAAACGCAAGGACAAGGATTACATAAAGAAGCTGGAGACCCTGATATTAACTATAGTGTGTGCTCAGTAATGAACTGCTCTATATAAGTTATTATCTGTATTATCTTCATCTGGTTAGTCCTCTGATGATAAGAACTACAGCAAACCTGTTTCATTTAAAAACTCAAAGACAAGGATTACATAAACAAGCTGGAGACCCTGATATTAACTATAGTGTGTGCTCAGTAATGAAGTGCTCTACATAAGTTATGTAACTCCTGCAAATGTCTCTCAAGGTAGGTATCAATATCTGAAGTTTACAGAAGAGGGAACTAAGACTCAAAGAGGATAACGAACTTGCCTGTGAGTTTTTTAAACTACATTATATTTCCTTCAAGTGCTGATGACTAAAAATGTCTGAATATAATAATTTCATAGCAGATTGGAAATCTTGTTCACTTCAAAACCCTTTATGGAAAAAACCACATAAGGTTCTTGAGTTTTCTCAAATCTGATAATACAAGAAGTATTTGAATTAATTAGTAAGAACACCTGAATTAGAAAACCCTCAGCAGTGTATATATTGTAAAAGAGCAGTTGTGGTAAAATTTAATAAGGAAAAAGAACACAGGCCTTTTTCTTAACCAGTTAAAATTTCAATAATAGTTTAAAATTGTTAGACCACAGAATAAGTTATTTTCTTTTCCCTCCTCATCCATCTTTGAAAATATAATCAAATCTAGATAATTTCCTGTAATTAAATGAAAGCATGTTTTTGTTAATAAAATATTATAAATTCAAAATCCTTTATATATGAACATCATTATACTATTTAAAAAGATATTTTAATTCACATTAATAATAAAACTAGACTTCCTGGGGTAGGATTAAGTGAGCTGGGGAAGCCAGGCTATCAGTTACAAAAAAAAAAAATTGTGGATCCTATATATATATACAGATACATATGTATATATGTCAAGAAATTCTCATGTCATAATTTGTCATATGTTGTAAATAATTTCAATTATTTGAATTACAGTATAGAGAAACACAGAAAACTAAATACGTGTGGCCAGATAAATCTTGAGAAAAACCACTAAAGACAAACAACCAACCAATCACATAACAAATTAAAATGAAGTCCAGTAGAAGATTCTGTGGAAGCTTCAAGCTCACCAACTCGACGTAGTTGTTTTCTGACACTTACTGTTTGCTTGCACAAGATTTTCTAATAGCAGTATTGTCCAAGAGAAATACAATGGGAGCCATATATTTAATTTTACATTTACTAGTAGCTACATTCCTTAAAAGAAACAAGTGAAATTAATTTTAATAACATTTTATTTAACCAAATATACAGCCATAATATTATCATTTCCACATGTGACAAAGAGTCTTTGCTCAGCCAAATTTTAATCAGGCTTCTGAACCTTTCCTTAGGCCCCTCTGTGTGCTTCCTTGAAAAGTCTAGTCTGCAAAAGAACCTGGCTAAGTCAGTTTAGCCAAAATTCCCTCGATATGTGATCAGATTCCTCATCTTTCACCTTCCCCCAGAAGATGTCTAATCACTCTGGCCTGTCTTTAGCAAGAATCCTGTTACGTAGGTTTAGCCAGGATCCCCGCTCACCCCTGATGTTTTCTCTTAGTAATTTTCCATCCACTGACCCCCACACACTGTTCCTTGGAGATAAATGCATACTTGCCCGTGTCGTTTTCCGACCTGAGCCCCGTCTCTCTCCCTTACTGCAAGCCCCTGTTGCAGTGGCTCCTGTACCTATTGTAATGATCGTAAATAAACTGAATAAAATCTTTTTTGTGGGGAGCAGGGGGTACAGGGTCTTTCTCTGCTGCCCAGGCAGGAGTGCAGTGGCACAATTATAGCTCACTGTAACCTCGAACTCCTGGGCTCAAGAGATCCTCTCACCTCAGCCTCCTGAGTAACTAGCACTACAGGGGCATGCCCCCATGCCCAGATAATGCTTTTATTTTTATTATTTTGTAGCAATGGGGTCCCACTACATTGCATAGGCTGGTCTCAAACTCCTGGCCTCAAGTGATCCTCCTGACTTGGCCTCCCAAAGCCTTGGGATTACAGGTGTCAGCCATCATGCTCAGCCTATTACCAAGCTTTAACAAGTATCATTAAATAATACTTTTTTTTTTTTTGAGAGTTTCACTCTTGTTGCCCAGGCTGGAGTGCAGTGGCACCATCTCGGCTCACTGCAACCTCCCCCTCCCAGGTTCAAGTGATTCTCCTGCCTCAGCATCCCGAATAGCTGGGATTACAGGTATGCACCACCAGGCCCGCCTAATTTTTTTATATTTAGTAGAGACGGGGTTTCATCATGTTGGCCAAGCTGGTCTCAAACTCCTGACCTCAGGTGATCCACCCGCCTCAGCCTCCCAAAGTGCTGGGACTACAGGCGTGAGCCACCGTGCCCGGCCTAAATATTTTTTTCTTTTAACACGTGTAATCAATATAAAAATTGCTAATGCAACATTTTACATTTTTTTGTAACAATTTTAATTTTTATTCTGTGTTCAGTAGCCACATAGGGCTAGTGGCTACTGTACTGAAAACATAGTTCAAGCATTGTTGAGTGGTATGAGTTCTTAAGGATTTACTTTGGATCTGGGCATTGATATAATTAGGAAGGTCAATTTAGCAGCAATGGGAATTAGATAAGCAAGTGTTTGACATTCTTGTGGGCTCTCTAAAGTCTTAGATCACTCCAGCCTTGTATGCTAACTTTGGAGACTGATAAAGGCTATTGGTGCCTAAAAGGCTGTGAAATGTATTTTTTAAAAAGCTGTGAAATATTTTAAGTGTACATCACATAATTTAGATTGTAAATTTGATACATCTGCACTATGAAAGTGTCAGAAACGCTAGTGCAAACTTTAATTATGAATAAAAAGACAAATCCAGAAAAAGAAGTGTGCATTTGTCACTCTTAAAAAAGAGTTGGGTGGGGAAAGGATCCAACTGATTTAACCTAATAGGGAAAGAAGAGACAAGTCCTACTCTCCCTGACTCTTGTATTTTGTTGTGGCATTTTAAGAAGGATCCAATTGTATGGATCCAATTAAAAGCAACCAGTGGTTGTGAAAAGGCTTGAAACTACATCTTGTGAACAATGGTTGAAAGTACTTTGAATATGGTTTCTTAAAATGAGTATCTGTAGCAGGGGTAGTTAGAAGGATATGCACGGGAGAGGGAGTGGGAAAGGGTGATAAGCTGTACTGATAAGTGCTTAAATGAATGTCACATACAAGAAGAAAAGAGCAAGAAACAAAGACAAAATAACTACTCATAGAAGAGAGTGCAAGTTGGCTGAATACAAGGAAAATGGCTTATAAAAATGCAATGGAAAAAGATGTCTTGTGAGGCAATTTTGCACTACAGAGGATGGGGACAATTCATGATGCCTAAGGCTCCTCTCAACACGAGAATTGATTTTATTGGTCTCAAATATTGAACAGAGAGGCAGTGTGGAGGTTGAACAGTTCACTGGCCTTGATGTTACAGGCAGGCCCTGTGTCTTAATCTTGGCTCAACCTTTAGGAGTTAGGTCACCTTTAGCAAGTCTCCTGGACTCTCTGGGTCTGCTGCTTCTCTAAAATCGAAATAATATACCCCACATTTACTTTTGGGATTACTGGAAGGCTTTGTAACCACATAAACACGTTTCTGTTTCCATGGGATAAGCCAATAAGGCCCCTTAACACAGCCCTCCTGTTTCTTTTTCCTCCTCCTCCCTTCCTACTCTATTTCGGGTTCTGTCTTCCCACACCCAGCTATTCCTAGTACCTTCCCTTACATGCACCTTATCTTACTGCTGCATTACAGAAAAGTCTAAGGATAAACACAAATAGTCTTTTTCCGCCCTAAGGTAGGGCAAAGGGTTAATAGAATCAAGAGGTAAAGTCTGTAAAAACCATTTTTCCACATTTTTTCATCCTGCAATCGCTGTCTATAAAATGAGCCAACTTGCTGAAGGGGACGCCAAGAAATCACAATTTCAGGACTGCCATGAAGAATGAGTATTCAACTCCTTATCAGAGACCTTTAACCCTTATACAATAATGTATCCATGCAGGTCACCCTACACTGCCTCTACTCTGAAGTCTGCAGCAGAATCACTATTTTTTTTTTAATCACTAATTTTTAAACTGTGGTCTTTACGGCTCAGATCTGGGAGTGGACATTGACCTTTCTTATTTAAACCATTGCCCACAGATAACACATAATTTCTAGCCGAATCCTTTAGTCCCAATATCCCCTCTTTTCACTGCCCTGACTTCCCTCTCAGGTGAGGTTCAGGAAGATGGTTATCTAGAGGGCACAGGTTCTGGGTTCAAATTACTTGGGTGCAAACATGAAATCCACTACTCTGAGGCTGGGCCTCAACTTATCTGCAAAACGAGGATGATTCGTATCTCAGAGAGTTGAAGATTAAGCAGCTTTAAGTAAACTTCTAAACACTTGATCCGGACACAATAAATGGGGCTACCAGAACTATCTTTCCAGCATTCCCACCTGCAAATGCCTTAGGCGTCTCTGAGAATTTGGTCTCTGAGACCTTCCAGAGCATCCATAACTTAAACCCTGCTCTGCTGTCGTTCAGGACGTCTCAATAGTAAATGAACCTGCTGGCTCCCAATCCAGCCAAACCAGGAGATAGGCTGAGGCTTCAGACTGCCTCGCAGATGCTCCATGGCACTTGACGGCAAGAGCTAAAAAGAGGTGATTTAAAACAAGATTTCCTCGGACTTAAAGCTTAAGTACCGGGTTGCGACCCTACTCTCCGCAGGACATAAGCGGAGGGGCGCGGCCCTAAGGCACACGCCGGAGGGGCGTGGTCATGGGCACCCGCCGGAGGGGCGTGGTCATGGGCACCCGCGCGCGCCCAGGGGCGTGTCCTTTTCAGCACCCACCGAGGCGCCAGCCCCCTGACGCGCTGCGTGGAATCCAAATCCCACGGCCGGTGTCGTTACTCTGCGCATGTGTAGCTGCTGGGGGCTGGCCGGAGGAAAGCAGAATTTCAGGGAAAGAACGATCGGGACGGGGAGGACGGGGAGGGCGGGGCAGAAGACGGAAGAGTTGAAATCAGCTGACTGGGTCTCGTGACAGCCTGGGCGGTGGCGACGCAGGCGTATTAGAGCGCGCTCGCTCAAAGCCTGAGCGAAGATGGCGGCCTCCAGAGTGAAACTCTGAGAGGCAGAGGGAGGAGGCGGAGGGGGCGGGGAGGCAGCGCCGCGGCGGCACCAGGAACCCGCGGCAGCGGAGCTGCAGGGCCCCGGCGGGGGAAAGGGGAAGTGGTGAGGGTGAGGAGGCCGGAGGGCGCCTCATCCCACTCTGGAAGCTGAGCCGGCGGCGGGAGGAGCTAGGGCTGGAGCCTCTCCAGCCTCCCGCGAAGGTAAAGCCGACTCCGGGCACTGGGCTCTGGGGCTCTGCCTTACTCCCTTCCCACGCCGTGGGGACTTTGTGGGGCTCAGGGCAGGGAAAACGGGGTGGTCTTGGCTGCTGCAGCCTGCAGCTGCTAAGGAAGCAGATTACCCTTCCCCCAGGCTGCTGGTCTGGTTCCTTTCGTTGGACGCCCCCCCGGCTTTGAGTGACATTAGCTCAGGGCGCTGCCCTGTCCAGCCCCACCCCTTTTTTTTGCTTGTTTTATACCTAGTACGCTCCTCCACTCGCCTTAACATATCCTTACCCCACAGGCTCTTCATTCCCTTGTGGGTTCCGCCCTCGGGATTCCCTTCCAGTCTCCTAGTCTGAGCACCCTTCCTGCTGGATGCCGGCAACTCTTGTTTCCTTGGGTCAGCGACCCTCCTTCCGAACAAGTCCTGCAGACTGACTTTCTTTGCTTTGTTTCGTTTTGTTAGGAAATGAGCATCCGCGTCGTCTGTTCTCCAGTACTTTTTCTAAAATCATTTTCTCCCCTAAGGCTTTTCCTTCCTGCAAGGCAGCTTATTCACGTGGCCTTTCCTCCGCTGCTGTGATTTTATCTTTGAATGTGGCCTTTGGAGTGGGTAAAGTAGGACTTAGACGCTCAGTGAAGTGGCTGTTAATCACTTGATACTTAACTATGTTTAAGAGTGCCTTCCCTTAAATTTTCTCCTTTTGTAGCGTGTTCCGTTAACCACGTTTGTCTTAAGATTGTTTCCTGTGTCCGTTGCTTAGAGGGGGGAAAAAAGTAAAGATTTCACCCTAATGTGGCGGTGGTCTCCCAAAGTAATTATTTCTCATTTTCCCTCTGCTTTTCCCTTTTACGTTATTCTGATTTCCCTCAAAAAGGAGGTTCTGTACCTGATGCTGTTGCGTCCTCTATGAAGGGCTTTATAGTGTACAGTTATGTTGAGCCTTTTGTAATACAGTGTCTTGGGGAAAAAAGTAGAAGTTCAGAACCTGCCCCCAGTAATTCTTTCTTACTATATTTTCTTTCTCAGTTTATGGACTTGATAGGTTTCTAGGTTTGAAACTACTGCCTGCAGGGAAAATTACAGTGATAAGGTTTTATAATATATTACCAGTACTTTGAGTTTATGGGAGTATGAAACAGAATTTGCCTTAAAAAAATAAATTTATAGAAACCACTTGTCAGAAATTCGGTATCCAGAACACAGTTCTTTGATTTTTGGAAAGTACTTTATTGGCTTATCTATCATATAACGTAAAACCTTGTTCACATTTTGTGTAATGTGAAACGCTTTTTAAGCTACTATATCTCAGACTTGGCTTGTGCTGTTAGTATCACAATGCATTCAGGCAACACACGTCCTTGTGTAGAAATTATTACATTATACTCCTTGTTTGAAAACAGGAAGTAGAACATATTAAGGGAGGAAAAGAGGAGTCAGAGGATTATTAAGAAATAAGAATGTAAAGAACCTTAAGGCTAGAGTTCAGTTCATGGAAAATATCAGCATTTGTATTCCACTGAGAGGCAATGAATATTCCTCTTTTTCTAAAGTGGTAGTAATAAATAGTCTAAAATATATTAATGTTATATATTGTTAACAAGCTTAGTTGTAAACAAAATACTTAAGCTAAAAAATAAAATATTAATAAGTGAATGAATTGTTTGGAATAATTTAACTTTATCCACAAATAAATAGAAGATGGTTGCCTTGCCCAGGTGGACTGTAACAATACTGGCTTTATTAAATTTGTTAAAAGGTTGATAGTGGAGTCCGGTTCTCAATAGGTCCCAAATTAGGGTTGAAATTGAAAAGATGTGTTTTAACTAATTTGGCTTCATTCCTCAACCAGTTCTGTTTACACAGGTGAATATGAGGTTTCTGCTACACATACCTTTCCCCTGCTTCTGATTGAGGTACTTTAAATTAGTAATTGAAACAAGGCTGTGCAGATAAACTGCAGCACAAATTTGGTTGCTACAAATAGGTTTTGGCCTAAATGTTCACTGTAAAACATGGCAGTAGTTAAAGGGGAGTTATTAATATTTTGAAAGAGTTCCTTGAGTCAGTGTTTCTCAACTTTATTAGACCCAATAAAGGCTCCCTTTTTATAAAAAATAATTAGTAACACCTTCTTTGCTATCTTTAGTTTATAAATAATGTAACTACCTCTGGCTTTGGCCCTGAGACAAAAAAAGAAGCTTTGCTCTCACTTCTGCAACAAAAAAAGACCTACACTACAAATTCATGACTTTTTTGAAATCTATTAAAGAGCTGAGTCCACAGAGCAAAACCACTGGCTGAAAATTTGAGAGACAGTGCTTACAGAGAGTAGATGTCAATTTCTGTTTACCGTCTTCAGACACAACTGGACAAAAAGCATGATGAAAGCTGAATGCACAATCTTGCAAACTCTTATCCACAAACCTCCCTGGGTCTACTAGAAAAGACTGGAAAGAACCCTGGGTGAGTCTGCTGTGCAGATTGAGAGGGAGAGGAACAGCAACAGAACTTTTAAGAGGGTCAAGAAACTGCTGTGATTCTTCCCCTCTGCCTCTTCTATGGAAAAAAGCTTTAATCTCTGGGGAGAAGGGTATCTCTGTTGGCCCCATTGGTGAACATTCAGGGGGTAGATGAGAAGTGGGAGAGAATCTTATGCCTGGAGGAGGGGCCCTGAGCCCAAAACTGCAGTCGGGAGTGGTCAACAGAACCGAGAGTGCTGCCCTCCTGAGATTCAGGAACACAGTGTTTGACTTAGACTTAATCAGAACATCAGACTGTATCCCCCACCCCCAACCCCCTGCCACCAAGCTAAGAAGCTTTCAGTAACAAGTAACCCACAAAATACTACTAGGAAAGGAACAAGATTATGCAAAGAGGCACAACACAAAGAATCAAACAGGCATTGCTCTAGTAAACCATCGCCCACCAGAGAGACAAACTGTTCTGCAGATTCATGAAGGCTGTAATACACTGAGGATAACTATGGCAAAAACAAATCATAAACTAAGTCCAACTCCTAACCAGATTAACACAAACCCTTCACCAAAGGCCTCACAAAGAACAGGCGTGCTCATTTCCAGTCATAAAAATTACCTCAATCTCTACTCCTACACAACATGTCCAGCTTTTAACCAAAAATTATGAGGCCCATGAAAAAAACTCCCAAGAGAAAGAGCAGTCATCATTATACATTTTTTAAAAAGATAGGAGCTTAAAAAGAACTGTTTTGTACATGTTAAATACTATAATAATGACATTTTGCCTTGAAAAAGTTTGAGCAAACAATGCAGTGAGCATTGGATGGAGTTATAGTTTCTGAATTACTGTGAAGTAGTAGAAGGAAAAAAAGTTATAAGATGGAGTGGAAAATTAGTAACATATATGTGAATGTATGTGGTTCATTGACCACCTGAAGTGTGTGTGTGTATTTTGTGAATTCCTGCATGACTCAGTTGGGTACAATTTTCTGCGTTCACTTAGTGTTGGGACAGAATCACTATAAGCAAATGTGACATTTTCATTATGCTCAAATTGTTCAGTAATACACCAATCCTGTTAAAATTCACATGATCAAGAAAGCATTATAGCAGAATTGACTATATGCATTTCAATATGTAAATAGTTAAGTATGATTATACCAAAATACACAAAGGACGTGTCAGAGGCTTGTATCTTTACATGGAATCATTTTGAGATTTTTTTTGTGTGTGTGAGAGACAATCTTGCTCTGTCACCCAGGCTGGAGTGCAGTGGCACGATCTTGGCTCACTGCAACCTCTGCCTCAGCCTCCTGAGTAGCTGGGACTACAGGCGCTTGCCACCATGCTGGGCTGATTTTTTTTTTTTTCTGTATTTTTAGGAGACAGAGTTTCACCATGTTGCCCAGGCTGGTCTCGAACTCCTGACCTCAAGTGATCCACCCACCCAGGCCTCCCAAAGTGCTGGGATTACAGGTGTGAGCCACCATGCCTGGCCCATTTTGATTTTTGACAGAAATGTTGATGTCTACAGATTTGTCACATTGGTGACTCAAATACCACAATTGAGATTATTAGCATTGTCAGAAAAGAACAGGGTTAATAAAGTATAATCTCTTAATTTACATTGCAGCCACATTCCTGGAAAAATCTCTGTATATTAAACCCTGCAAAATGTACTTGGTGAGTTATATATAAAACAATTAGAGTCTGGGATTCATTCATTATAAATAGGTTTTTGCCTACATGACTAACCAACTAAGCATTTGGACTTCTGGACTTTTTTCTTTTTCCTTTTTTTTTTTCTTTTTTCAGACCTCACTCTGTTGCCCAGGCTGGAATGCAGTGACACGATCATAGCTCACTGTAGCCCTGATCTCCTGGGCTCAAGCGATCCTCCCACCTTAGCCTCCTTAGTATCTGGAGCCATAGGCACGCCATGCCCAGCTAACTTTTTTTTATTATTATTATTTTTAGTAGAGACGAGGTCTCACTATGTTGCCCAGGCTAGTCTCAAACTCCTGAGCTCAAGCAATCCTCCCACCTCAGCCTCTCAGAATGCTGGGATTACAGGTGTGAGCCACCATACCTGGCTCACTTGGACACTTGAAAGTCGTATGGTGTGGATGGTACTTATCTTTGGGACTGTAATGTATGTTGAATATCTAGTCTCATCCACTAAATGCTAGTAGTGCTCCCAGTCATAGTGCCTCAGATGGGATGGCATCCTAGCCCAACCATT
Organism: Homo sapiens; assembly: GCF_000001405.40. Lineage (NCBI taxonomy): Eukaryota > Metazoa > Chordata > Mammalia > Primates > Hominidae > Homo > Homo sapiens. Next base: position 132,422,484 of record NC_000003.12, read on the forward strand.
ACTTTAGTTCAAAATTTTAATCAGTGGTTTTCAACATATTTTTTCTGTTTCAGCAGTGTTCACATACCCAGCATATGCCAATTTATAACACTTCTTGTTATGTGGAGTGATTCTTAATCATAGGAACTCCTTTGAGAGTAACTGAGTTAGATTTCTTTGTAACAAATAGTTTAAACCAACATGGTTATGATCATCTTTGCTAATTTAAGATAGTTACCTGTGCAAAGGTACATTTAGGTGTGGTTCAGTCAATAAAACCATATAGCTTGCTAGTAATTCTTTTCAGATGCTCTTTATTCAATAGTCGACATATGGGAGTTTTACTTGTACTTTCATGGACTACTTGTGAAAAAGAGTGAGCTTTAAAGTCAGTGGAATTTTACAGTTTAAGCACTCAAGTTGCCCTTAGAAGAACACTGCCTAGTCACATATTTAGCACATGCCCAGTGGTAATATCTCTTTGCAATGGATTAATAAGAGTTTGATATTTTGATTATCAGATAGAAAACAAAACCCCTAAAGCAATCCAGAATTATTTTAGCTGGGTGCACAATAATCACACGTGTAATCCCAGCACTTGGAAGGCTGAGGCGGGAGGATCACTCGAGGCCAGGAGCTCCAACCTAGCTTGAGCAACCCCGTCTCATCAAAAAATGAAATAACTAGCTGGCTGTGGTGACGTGTGCTCGGGAGGCTGAGGCAGGAGGATTGCTTGAACCCAGGAGACTGAGATTACAGTGAGCTATGATTGTGTTGCTGCGTTTCAGTCTGGGTGACAAAGGAAGACCCTGTCTCTTAAAAAAAATTATTTCGACGCTTTGATTTTTGCCAGCTCTAGTTGCCACAACTTAATGGAAGGGTTGGTGAGGTTATGAATGGAGGAGATGTTCTCTAATATTTCATGTATTCTGTAATACATTTAAACGCTTATACATGGTGTTCTCACTTTTATTGTATTCCTTAGTCATCTAAGGCTATGGGGTTTCTCTCCTCAAACTTCTAGTCAAGCTACAGAATGTATTTTGAATGTTTATCAAATCTTAGAGCAGATAAGCCATTTTCCCCCCAAATCTTAGCACTAATGGGCTTAATTTTAAAAGTGAAACTTTGCTTTTTTAAGATAATTTGGTAGTGTTCTATAAACTGTAAAGCGCCACAGAAGAGGTAGGAATAATAGGGATATTTCAGAACTAAACTAGAAATGTATGTTTTTGCTATTTTGTATTGAGTGAAGGGGAAATTGTAGCAAATTAAACTTTTGTCTTTTAATAGTATAAAAAGAACAGTGTTTGGGTTTTCAGGATGCTTTCTGTAAAACTGTCTTCAAGTTGTATGTGTTAAAAGCTTAGGAAATTTAGTCCCGCATTATGCATTTACTGTAATGATAGGAAAAACAGCAACAAGTTAAAATATGGCTGCTAAAAATTTCTTTTGCCCATTTCAGGGCCTGTTTACCATAGTAGAGCATGATTATTAAGTGCCTTAATAAGCTGATAAGCTTAATAAGTTGATAAGCTGAAGACCTTACAGAAATAGTATAGTTTGTTCTTGCATAAGCCAGGTTATGCTTCAAAGATAAAATGAAATAGAAATTAGGTCTATAAAGTTACAATAATGTGTATAAACTAAAAATATGTAAATGATCAATAGCAATGATTTCAAAGCATTGCTTAAGTGAACATGTTTCTGGAAAGAAAGCTTTCAGGTGAGTATTTTAAGGCATTTTTAAGCTTTGGAAAGGGAAGGGTCATAGTAATACATCTTTCACAGAAAATTTGAATTTTTTTAACAACAGATAAACTTCTGTTTTGTCAGAAATACAAATTATTCCCCTCAGATGAAATGAGCATACATGTGATAGAAATAGAAGAGACAGGTCTCTTTTCAATACTTGATTTATACTGTTGAATAGAAGAGGTCAAAAAAAGTAACTGCTATGGTAAGTATGCTTGTCCCCTCCTCCCATTAAGTGTTTCTTCAGATTTAGGGGTTGCTTTTGAATTTTTCTTGCCCTGTATTTCATTAATATATACTCAGTTTGTAATAGAAAGGAATCAAGTTTTTAAAAACAATGGTGGAGATCTCATATTATTTCAGCTACCCTATGGTAGTGAAACTAGTTAAAAGTTGATTATGATGTGACAGTACAATCACTTCACTTTAAAATATCTGGGCAATTATTTGAAGATATGATTATCAGATGAAATTTGATATTACCGCTGGCTTTTTTTATTCTTCAACGACATCTATCTCTGGAGGTATCGGGTTCTTCAGTAAGTTAAGGAAGGCTAAGATGGTAGGTACTAAAATCTTTGTGATGTATTTATGGTTTGTTTTAAGATTCCTGTTGGTATCATACATATTACACATACTGATTTGTTGTTCATTTAGAAGAAAATGCTTTTACCTGTACTTGAGTCATATATTAAAATGAAGCTAAAATTTAAAAATAGGGTTAAAGTTCATATGGCAGTTTCCCCCATACACAGCACATTCTATCTAAACAGTTTAGTTGTAGCTATTTAATCTGGGTAAAAATGAACATTCTGTTAGCCATTCATATTTTTTACCATTTGTTTGAAACCAAACTAATCTAGTGCTATGATTTACTCAGATTTTGAATCCAGTTACAAACAAACCTAGATCCTCAAGAAGCCAATATAAGATATTCTATCTATTACTCTTATTAGTTATTTTTTCAAAGGGTTAGTCTTTCCATGGTTCTCCTTACTACCCCTCCCTTTTTGGTAAGATATAGCTGTAGGAAGTATTACGTTCATAAATTAGTTCCTATGATGTGAATGTCTGCTACATTTTAAGTGTGGTTTTGGAATGTAGCATTGTTTCTGTTGTAGGAGAGTTTGATCAGAAAAGGCAAACTCCACAATTTTCACCCAACATATTGTAAACATTTTCACCTACAGCCAGGTTGAAAGAACTTTACATTAGATACCCACATGCCCACCTAAAGGTTTTTACATTAACATTTTACTGTACTTGCTTTATCACAGATCTGTCCATCTTTCCATCAATCCATCTTATTTTTTATGCATTTCAAAACAAATTCACATTTTTAGTTATTGAGGGCAGAGCTAATGAAAGTAAGTTCCGTTCTTGCATTTTACAGACTCAAAATGGGAAAATCAGTAGCTTACCTGTTCTCTGCAAGTTGTCATATTTGTGTAAAAATTACTTCCAGTTGATGATGCTAAATACGTGCTTTAAACAGGTGACTAGCCTGATTAATGCCAATCCTTCTTTCACTAGTGTATTTTTTTCTAAGTGTATTCATTCATCCCTAGTTAAATGAGTGTTCTGCTTGTGTTTTTGCTTAACACAAGCCATGTGTATATACTTAATTTTGCTGTGTGTGTAAATTTTTTTGCTTATAGCTTGACCGTAATTGGCTTGAGTGTCTGTGGTGTTGAGTCCCTTCATCTTGCTTTTGTTCTTAGTGTCAACTTGATGTAGGCTTCTTCTCACTGGACTCCCAAATCCTGTGGTTTTCTGTCAAAATTATGTGTCTTCTAAAAGATCATTCTCATTTTAACCATAAATGATCTTAAATGGTTTGCCAGTATTACTGCCAGTAATAAATTAGAGAATGCAAGAATATTGTGTTGTTCGAAAGCATGATGCAGTAGTATTCATTGAGAGAGGTGAATCTAGCCAAAATGCCTGTGTTGCCCTGAATTTGACTTTTTAACCCATAGGACAGTTCTATAAAAAGAACAAACAGAAGTTTCTTTGGTGGTGTAATTTAGGATATAGCATGAAAACAAGTGAAGCTGACTCGCAAAAATTGGAGATGCTTTCAATGCAATTTAATTACAAAAGGCATGTAAATTTGATTTTTCCTCATCAGAAAGAATCATGGGTCTTTGAGAATTTGAAATATGGAACACAATTGCAGGAATGAAGGAGATGAAATTTAAGTGACGTTAGTTTGAGCAGATAAATTCCTGCTATTTCGAATAGCCTCTAAACAACTGGCAGAATGGCAAATGCTAGTGATACAGCTGCTACCAAGATCTCATTCAAGATCCCATTTAACTGTTTACATTTTTTAGTTGGACAGTTTGTGGTTGTTGATAGCATGTGCTTATATTTGACTGTTACTGATATTACCTGCTTGATACTTGAGCTTCTGATACTAGAAATTTTACAGATTTTTTTCATCATAAATAGTGGAAATCAATGGTTGCTTAAGAGTTTTTGCCTATAAGTGATGATTTTTTTGAATCACTTTTAGAGCTTATTAATGTACAGAGGAAATATTGACTGCAGATTAAATTTATTTTGTGAAGTTTTTTTTTTCTTGAAAGTTTCTCAAGCCATAGTTAATTTGTAGCCATCAAACATAAATTTAAAAATATTAGGTTGGATACATGTAAGGAAACAGTTCTAACAACTGAAATTTCAAATACCTAAGTGGGGAATATTAAAAATGTAGTAAATAAGATTGACTTGTAATAGTATTTTGTAGGAATAAAGTTGAAATAAAAGACAAGCTTAAGTGTTGGGTTATAGTTGACAAGATGATTTTTAAAAATTTCATCTATCCTGATTATCTTGGTGTTTATATATACATATGTGTGTGTGTGTGTGTGTGTGTGTGTGCACGTGTGTGTGTGTGTATATATATATATATTTTTTTTTTTTTTTTGAGACAGGGTCTGACTCTGTCTCCCAGGCTCGAGTGCAGTGGCAAGATGAGGGCTCGCTCACTGCAGCCTCAGCCTCCCAGGCTCAAGTGGTCCTCTGACCTCAGCCCCCCAAGTAGCTGGGACTATAGGCCTGTGCCATGACACCCAGCTAATTTTTTGTATTTTTAGTAGAGACAGGGTTTTGCCATGTTGCCTGGGCTGGTCTTGAACTCCTGGACTCAAGCGATCTGCCTGCATTGGCCTCCCAAAGTGCTGGGACTACAGGCGTGAGCCATCGCACCCGGCAATATTTTTTTCTTTTTAAAAACGTTTTATGGGAAACATAAATTGTAACAATAAAATAATAATGACAGTAACAATAATAAATGGCATCCTCATGTACATCATTCAGTTTAAGAAATATATATTGTTATAGTTATTTTTGAATGGTTAAGTAAAAGTGAATGCTGATTAAATCAATAGAACACTGTACTTTTGAAGGTGAACATTCTAGGTGATATCTATTGCATACTAGAGGGATTGAAATTAATAAAAGATTTAGAGAAAATCAAGTAATTTAATAGAATTTCCCCCCAAAATGCTGTATTAGGTACAAGAGCTGGTAAGTTCTTGAAAATAAGATATAGTAGAATTACCCAAAATAACTTCTTTTTTTGGGTTATCTCATTTAGTCCTCACCATAGCCCTTCGGGACAGTTATTCCTATTTTATAGACGTACTATAATTCAGATAAATTCAGAAACTTTTGTTCAAAGTCACGCAGCCAGTAAATGGCAGTTATAAAAATTCTCCAGCTTTATCTTGGTAATAAATAGATTATTAACATCATTTTAATGGAATGTTAATGTAGCCTGTTGTGCTAGTCTCTAGTTAACGTATAGCATGTGGAATGGCAGCTCTGTGATCAGTGCCCTAGGGAGGTATTCCAGGGTCTTCCCAGATTGAATGATTCCTGACTACTGTACTTGGAGGACCTCTAGACTTGTCTTCACTCATTTGCCAATTATTATCTTGAAATTATTCTACCTCTCACTTTGAATGATACATAGTTGGTACATTTTCTGATCTTTGTGCATTGCCATTACCTTCATTAGCGAGTTACGTGCGTGTCTAAAAGTATCTTCGTGGTCTAAAAGAGTTAATGCAGTTTCCAGACCACTTGCCATTCATTGGCTGAAATGACTTTATCAAACAATAGTTAAGATTTTACTGAGAATGTAAAATAGATTTACCTGAAAATGTGGATAGGCTAATATTACACTGCCGGGAAATAGATCTCAGCCTCAGATCTCATTTATCTGGTTATCTTATCTTTTTTTCATCTAAAATTTATATTTAAATAGAGATGGGGGTCTTGCCATGTTGCCCAGGCTGGTCTCAAACTTCTGGACTCAAGTGATCCTCCCACAGTAGCCTCCCAAAGTGCTAGGATTACAGGCATGAGACATGGTGCCTAGCCAATCTGGTTATTTTAAAAGCTCGATGTTGGTTAGAGTAATTGAACTCTCTTTAAAGAGTATCCTGAGATCATATATTGGTAACAAATTTTTGTCATTGTATGTTTGTTTTGAACACTTTGTCAAGAAATGTCCTACCTCCCCCCAGACGGAGTCCTGCTCTGTCAGCCCGGATGGAGCGCAGTGGTGCCATCTCGGCTCACTGCAACCTCTGCCTCCTGGATTCAAACAATTCTCCTGCCTCAGCCTCCCAAGTAGCTGGGATTACAGGCATTCTCCACCACGCCTGGCTAATTTTTGTATTTTTAGTAGAGACGGGGTTTCACCATGTTAGCCAGGCTGGTCTCAAACTCCTGACTTTGTAATTTGTCCACCTCGGCCTCCCAAAGTGCCAGGATTACAGGCGTGAGCTACGGCGCCCAGCCAAAAAATGTTTTTTAAGCTTATATAAAGAAGGAAATATTTTGAAAGTTTATTTATAGATGATAGAATATTTCAGCTTTGGAGACTTATTTTTATTTCTTTTGTCCTATGTTGAATATGGTAATTTGTTTTACTGCTTAAAATTGTAGATTTCAAAGTTATTTCTAACAAGTATCATCTGTCCAGATGAAGATAATAACCGAAACTAGTTCTGAATTATTCCAGGAATTTGCAGTCAAATGATACATCTGTAATTACATGGTCAGGGTGAAGTTTTTTTTTTTCCTTAAAGTTGAGGGAAGGTATTAAAGTTTAGGTTAAGAACCTAGGGTGTAGAAGTTAAGGAGGTTAGTCCAAAGTCTGGCCCAATCGCTTACCAGCTGTGTTACCTTAGAAAAGTGATTTATCAGTTTTCTTGTCAATAAAATGAGAGTCATACCTGTACTGCAGTGTTGTTATGGGGACAAAATGAAATAAATGCATGGTAAATGCATAGGCTGAACACCAACATGTGATGAGTATTCAATATAAGTTGTTTAATAATTTCAGGACATGTCATAAATTTTCAGATTAGAGTCACCTTGCTTCCCTACCTTTATTAAAGGCAGTCTTCAATGGAGTTTTAAAATGGAAAAGCATTATCCTGATTTCCATTTTGAGGTTAGGCAGATGGTAATATAGCATTGAATTATTCCACTATTTCTGGGGTTGACTTGGCTAGTTAGTGGGGTGTCTCTTCCCTCCCTTACCTCTCAGATATACCCTTACATAAATATAATGTAGTTGAAGACAGGCTTTTCAAATAGAGGAGCAATTTTCTTCCATAAAAAGCCCATTTTACTAGCCTTTTATTGGATGCAGAGTAAAACATCACTTGTTGCTTTCTTAAATATTAGAGACAGAAAATTATCAGGTGTGCAAATATTGGACATAGGAACTTGTACTGATGATATGAACTTCTGGAGAACTGAAGTACTACTACTTTCCTCCTACACTAGTTTTCTGTCAGCATTCTCATCTGCATCAGGAATACAATATTTATTCTAATAGGCCAGGTCATTGGTAGTTTACTTTTATCTTAATGTGTTATATCTTCTCATACTCCTTTTATCTGTCCTAAGGACTCTCTGGAGTCTGGTGCTTTCATCATCTTCAGGTTTATAGACCTTCAAAAGCCTTCTTGATGTAAAGTTATTTAATTCATGTCCCAAAAGGTCTGTTGGAGTTCTATAACCCCAAATCAGTGGTACCTATGAGGTCATTCTTTAGGTGTTTATTTTTTAAATTATTTAAAAAATTTATTTAATAATTCTTATATTTCTTTTGTTATTATGAGATTATTTTGTTCTTATTCCCCCCTATGGGTTTATTAGGGATCTTTATTCCTTCTGGGTCATGCCCCGTGTTTTTTATGGTTGTCGTTTTAAAATCTTTATTTTTCTCTGCCTTTCATTTTAATTTTTAGATCCTTAATTTTATCAACCAGTCTCCACTCAACACATTTTCTTGTTTCTCAGTTTTCCCAAGATAGGCCCTTGGTACAGAGTCAGTTATTCCAATATCTTAAGTTTAGACTAGGAATACAAACCCCATTCTTCAGTATCAGCCATTCACCTTTTCTATCTGCCTTTCTCTTCCCATTGTTCCACTCTTCAGTTATATAGGGGAAAAATATCCGTACACCTATATATCTCTCTCTCTCCCTTTTTTGGTGAGTCTTCAGAGATACTGCCCAGGTTTCTTTTCAGCAATATCATTTACTGCAAAAGATTCAGAAGGCAGGGATAATTCTTACTGGGTTTAATAAATCTTAGTTGGGTGCTTTGGTCATCCCAGGTATGAAATCCAGAAACAGACAAACAAAACACCATACCAACTGTCAGGACTACATTTAGCTGTCCCTATACTCACTAGCAGGAAGATGTTAGTTGACTGTAAGAAATTTCTTCTTTCTGGTAACAATAAAAGCTTCTTTAAACTTGGTGTTACTTGTGGTTCCTTTTGTTATTTTTCAAAGCATGAATTGCTGATGCCTTTCCAGAAGGTTTGACAAAACCCTATTTGGGAGTCCCTGTTAGAGCATCAGGTTTGAAGTAGATATCAGAATTGCCCATGTATTTGCTGAATTTTATTCCTTAACTCAAATACTTATTTTTGAGCACCTGTTTTGTATCAGGCACTCTTGTGGCCTCTGTAGAAACAATAGTGAGCTGAACAGACAAAACTACCTCTCTCTGGATATTCCAGTAGAATTAGGTGAATAATAAATTGCACATTAGAATGTGGAAAGTGCTATGGGGGAAAAACAAGAGTAAGAGGGAATAGGGTAGAATGAGGAGGAGGGTGGTTACAATTTAAGTAGAATGAGGAGAGGGTGGTTACAATTTAAAACAAGATGTTTAGGGTCGGCATCATTGGAAAGGTGACATTTGAACACAGATTTGAAGGAGATAGAGGTATAAGCCATATAAATATCCAGGGGGTGAGCGTTCTATGTATAGTACAAAGGCTCTCGATAATTGGTAATAACACAAAAACAAGCAGGACGAATGAAGACAGCAATTTCAAAATAAGGGTATCTTTTAAAAAATGTTTTTACCACTCAGGTATATACCTAAGAGAAATGAGTATGTATGTTCACACAAAAACTCATATATGCTTGTTCATAGTTGTATTATTCATAATAGCCAAAAGGTAGAAACAACACCCGTGTCCATCAATTGACGAATGGATAAAATAGGTATATCCATATACCAGAATATTACTTGGCAGTATGGACCAGCATAAGCAAACCCACAGTGACAAAGTAGATTAGTGGCTGCTAGGTGCTGAGGCTGAGGTATAATGGGGGGTGACCGCTAACAGAGTTTCTTACTGGGGTGATGCAAGTGTTCCGAAAATAGTGGTGATGGTTGCAGAACTCTAAATACACTAAAAATCACCAAATTGTATACTTTTTAAAAGAGTGAATTTGTGGTATGTGAATTATGTCTCAAGCCGTTATAAAAATTTTTTTTCTGAAAAGTTTTTTCTAATTATGTAAAAAATACTTGCTGACTTAGTATTCACAGTATAAAAAGATATAAAGCAAGCTTAAAGAATTCCAACTATTCAGTTTGTATTAGCACTTTGGTGTATTTTCTACAAATTTTTTTGTTTTTGTTTTGTTTTGTTTTTGTTTTTTTGGGGGGGGACAGAGTCTTGCTCTGTTACCCAGGCTGGAGTGCGGTGGTGCGATCTCGGCTCACTGCAACCTCCACCTCCCGGGTTCAAGAGATTCCCCTGCCTCAGCCTCCCGGGTAGCTGGGATTACAGGCGTCTGCCACCACGCCCGGCTGATTTTTTAGTATTTTTAGTAGAGATGGGGTTTCACCATGTTGGCCAGGCTGGTCTCTAACTCCTGACCTCAGGTGATCCACCTATGTCAGCCTCCCAAAATGCTAGGATTACAGGCATGAGCCACCGCTCCCGGCCTCTACAATATTTTTTAGAGTGCATTTCTAACTATTAAGGCAAGGGAGAAATAGCTAAGTCACAAAAGAAATAACCATATTTAACTTTTATTCAAAATGAAGTAAGTGATACAGTATTTTCAAAACCTATCAGTCTTTCATTAGCAGCCAGTTCCAACAATTTATCCTGTAAAATTAGCTAAGTTTACCTTTTTTAGATGAAATAAATGGATTCTGGATTTTATATACTAAGTTACAGTCAATGAATATTGTACATAATGTGGTTTCATTGCATGTGACTGTTAGGAGGCTGATTCCACGAGTGAGTCATCACACAGATTCAACAATCTTGATCTGTTCTATATCCTGTTCAACCAGAGGAGTGCATTAATCAAACCGCCATAGAAGTTTCTAAACACTTAATCTCAATTTCTTTACTTTCCTTGATGTGGCTTGGAAACAAACCATTTGCAACTATGCTTTGAGTGGCACTGTTCTGGAATATTCATAAAGTGGAATACCATATAGCCTTAAAAATAATTTTCTTATAGAATAATTACATGGGGAAAGGTTAACATTCTTTGCAAACAGGTTAAGCAGTACAAATGGCAATCTTGTTTAAATAAGGATTTTTCTAAATATAAAAAGGAAGGCTAAAATGATTATCTTCAGATACAAGGACGAATGATGATTTGCTTTCTGAACATTTTAGATTTCTTACTGTGGACCTATATCACTTTTATAATGAGGAAATTGTTCTATTTTTAGAAACAGAATCTCACTCTATCACTCAGGCTGGAGTACAGTGGCACAATCATAGCTCAGTGTAGCCTCATACTCCTGGGTTTAAGTGATCCTCCCACCTCAGCCTCAGAATAATACCACACTACTCAATAGTGTTATTCAGCCCTTCTCTTCTGAAAAGTAGCTAGGAGTGTAGGCATATGCTACCATGCCCTGTTAACTTTTATTTTTTGAGAGAGAACGTCTCACTATGTTGTCTAGGCTGGTCTCAAACTCCTGGTCTCAAGCGATCCTCCCACCTCAGCCTCAGAATGGCTGGGGTTATAGGCATGAGCCACTGTGCCAGCGAGAAAATTATTTTTAAATTGCCTTATTTATAGTAGGTCCCCTTTGAAGTGGTAGTGTCAGCAAAATGGCCAGCACTTAGTAGCTCACCAAAAAACTTTTGGAACTGGTTTGACTCTTGGAAAATGTGTTTAGGTATCCATTGTGTGCCATGGCATTATTTGGCAATGTCAGATTTAAAGCTTTATTTATTTGACATTTTAAAAATTCTGTACACTGGGGATGTTGATAGAGGTCATTTCTGGTCCTCAAGAAACACAGTCCAGTGTGGGAGAGAGTTGGACAATCACAATATGGTGCTAAAGGTTATGATAAAGAGTTGAATAGACCAGTCCCCGTCTTTAAAAACCTTATGGTCTTGACCGGGCGCTGTGGCTCACGCCTGTAATCCCAGCACTTTGGGAGGCCAAGGCGGGAGGATCATGAGGTCAGGAGATCGAGACCATCCTCGCTACGGTGAAATCCCGTCTCTACTAAAAATACAAAAAATTAGCTGGGCGTGGTGGCAGGCGTCTGTAGTCCCAGCTACTCTGGAGGCTGAGGAAGGAGAATGGCGTGAACGCGGGAGGCGGAGCTTGCAGTGAGCCGAGATCTCGCCACTGCACTCCAGCCTGGGCGACAGTGCGAGACTCCATCTCAAAAAAAAAAAACAAAAAACAAAAAAATTAGCCGGGCGTGGTGGCAGGAACCTGTAGTCCCAGCTACTTGGGAGGCTGACGCAGGAGAATGGCCTGAACCCAGGAGGCGGAGCTTGCAGTGAGCAAAGATCGTGCCACTGCACTCCAGCCTGGGCGACAGAGCGAGACTCATCTCAAAAAAAAAAAAAACAAAACCTTATGGTCTTGTAAAGGATATACGGCAGGCTGTGAAAGTGAGAGAGCGATCTTGCTACCTTTCTTAGGGGAATCTTGGAAAGATTAAAGATATATAACATGTACTAAGTGCCCTCATATTTTTATCTTCCAGGTTTGAGCACAAAATGAACATAATTAGGGAAAATAAGGATCTGGCATGTTTCTACACAACAAAACATTCATGGAGGGGGAAGTAAGTATTCTTGTTGGGTTTTTTTTTCTGTGCTTCTATAAAATATTTTAAACATTACTGTGTTTCATAATCTTGAATAATACTGCACAACTCAGGCTATACAGCCCTTCTCTTCTGAAAAACGTGCATATTATAAATGTAAATGCTACATGTATTTTTTTTTCTTTTGACATTTCCAGTTTTCAGTATCTTTCTTGGGAAGGAGTTTGGTAAGAATTAAAAGTGACAGTTAAAAGGAAAGTAAACCAGTTAATCCACGCTCTTGTATGCTATCAATTAATGATGAGGTTATATAGTAGTAGCAGAGTGTTAACCCTACATCTTTGTTACCCAGTGACTAACCTGTCTGTAGCCAACATTTTCATATCCGTTTGACTGTCGGAGAAAATATGCCATTCTAGTGAAGTCTAACCTTTTTTTAGGCCTGTAATGAAATTTAAAAATTGGGTTTAATATATTTTCTTTGGGAGGGAGTGATGGCATTTTTTAGTAGCTTCCTAGTCAGACCAAAATGTAAGTGCTTCTGTTTCCTGTCTGTAAGATGGTTGGTAATTCCTACCCTTCAGATTTTTGTAAGGATTAAATGAAGTGATATGGCATGTATGAAAGTTTTAAAATTATGCCTCAAATATATTGAGTATTCAGTGAATGGCATCTGTTGACCATTACAAAAGTTTAGTCTCTGGTCCCTTTGATCAGTAATAAGTAAAATGAGTGTGTCACACTTTTACAAATCAGTGACCACATTATTCTGAATCGTGCCACAAGGTAAAATGTGACACATGCACAAAGCCAGTAAGTGTTTCTTCTCTCAACTTTTCATTTTTTAGTCACTGGAGTGGTAACTTCTTAGGATGTGGTATACATCTGAGCTGTCTAGTATTTCTGGTTTGCATTAGCAAACTGCCTATAATTTTGGAAGATTTGAATATTTGATTTTGTTGTCTAATAGCTCAATTGTATGAACTCCTAAATTAGAATAGTTGTTACCCTTTAGAATACTTGTCTCTCATTTTTTTTCCCCCTAGTTAGTTTCAATGAGTGAAGTTAGGGAGAAAAGTGGCATATCCAGGGTAGTATGAGTCATTTTAGTTCTTTGAATCAACCTTAGAAAAGTATATCTTTAAATAATCCTTATTTTTTCCTCAAGTGGTAGATTACTTTGGTCATCATAATATGACTTCCGTTTTTAATATGATTATAACATACTGATACATTCTAAAGAACAAACTTACTGCAATGCTTTTCGATTTGTGAGCTTGTAAGTAACTGTGATCATCAAAATTTTTGGTAATGTTCTTAGAGTAGTGACTAAGACTTAACTATCCTCTTTTTTCCTCGTAATAATTCAGAGTACAACTGTTTGTGTGCTCTTAGCGTAATTCTTTTAGGCCTTGAGACTTGGTTTTGTTTTTATAACAGCTTTAAGGCATAACTTATATACCATAAAATTCACCCTTCTAAAGTATACAATTCAGCGGATTTTAGTGTATTCATAAAGTTGTAAACCATCATCACTGTTTTGAGAACACTTTCATCACCTCGCCTTCCCTGCAAAAAACTTCCTCTAAACACTGCGTTACAAATCAGCAGTTAACTCCCTTTTTCCCCCTCTTTTGGCAGGCGTTAATCTACTTCCTGTCTCTGGATTTGTCTATTTGGAACATCTTATATAAATAGAATGATACAAAATGCTGTATTTTCTGACTGACTTCTTCCATTAAGCATAATGTTTTCAAGGTCGTCTATATTATAGCATGTCAGTACTTCATTTCATTAATGTCATATAATCTGTTGTATGGATATACTACATTTTGTTTATCCATTCATCAACTGACAGACATTTGTGTTGTTCTTACTCTTTTACTATTATGAATAATGCCACTGTGAATGTTTCCATATTTCCAGTTGTTTTGTGTATATACCTAAGAGTGGAATTGGTGGGTTATGTGGTAACTCTGTTTAACTTTTTGATGAACAGCCAAACTGTTTTCCAAAGTAGCTGCAGCATTTTACATTTCCACCTTCAATGTCTGAGTCCCAAATGCTCCATATCCTTATCAACACTTATTGTCTTTTTTATTTTAGCCATCCTAGTGTAGGTACGAAGTAGCTTCTCATTGTAGTTTTGATTTCATTTCCCTAGTGATTCATGATGTTGGGTATCTTTTCTTGTGTTTGTAGGTCATTTGTGTATCTTCTTTGATGAAATAATCTATTGAAATCATTTATTCACTGTAACTAAAAAAATTTTTTTTATTTTACTTTTTTTTTTTTTTCTTTTTGAGACAGAGTCTCACTCTGTTGCCCAGGCTGGAGTGCTGATCTCGGCTCACTGCAACCTCTGCCTCATGGGTTCAAGCAATTCTCCTGCCTCAGTCTCCCGAGTAGCTGGGATTACAGGCACATGCCACCATGCCTAGCTAATTTTTGTATTTTTAGTAGAGACAGGGTTTCACCATGTTGGCCAGGCTGGTCTCAAACTCCTGACCTCAAGTAATCCGCCCGCCTCAGCCTCCCAAAGTACAGGGATTGCAGGTGTGAGCCACTGCGCTCAGCCAAGTCATTTATTCACTTTTAAATTAGGTTGTCTTATTACTGAATTGTGAGAGTTCTTTATATATTCTGAATAAAAGTTCCGTGTATATGATTTGCAAATATTTTCTCCAATTCTTCAGATTTTTTTACTTTCTTGATGGTATTGTTTGGAGCACAAAGCTTTTAATTTGATGAAATCCAATTTATCAATTGTTTCTTTTGCCATTTGTGCTTTTGGTAATCTAAAAAGCCATTACCTAACCCAAGCTAACAAAGATTTACTTCTTTGTTTTCTTCTAAGAGCTGTATAGCTTTAATTGCGTTAATTTTTGTATTTGGTGTGAAGTAGGGTTCTAAATTCATTCCTTTGCATGTGAATATCCAGTTGTGCCAGCATCATTTGTTGAAAAAACTGTTCTTTCCACTTGAATTGTTTCGACACCCTTGTCAAAAATCAGTTTACCATGACTGTTTAGTTTTTTCCTGGACTCATAATTCTGTTCTGTTGATCCTGTATGCCTAACCTTATGCCAGTACCATATTGTCTTGATTATTATAGCTTTGTGCTGTTTTGAAACTTAGAAATACGAGTCTCTGAATTTTATTTTTCAGTATTATTTTGGGTATTCCTGGTCTCTTGCATTTCCATATGAATTTTAGAGTCAGTTGTTAATTTTTTTTTAAAAGACAGCTGCCCGGCCTGACCAGCATGATGAAATCCTGTCTCTACCAAAAAGTACAAAAATTAGTTGGGCATGGCGGCGCTCCCCTTTAGTCCTACCTACTTGGGAAGCTGCAGTGGGAGAATTGCTTGAACCCTGGAGGCGGAGACTGCAGTGAACAGAGATCATGCCACTGTACTCCAGCCTGGGCGACAGAGTAAGACCGTGTCTCAAAAAAAAAAAAAAAAAAGGCAGCTGACAGTTTGGTAGGCATTACATTGAATCTGTAGATCCATTAGTGGAGTATTGCCATCTTAACAGCATTGTCTTCTGATTCATGAACATGTGTTTTCATTTATTTACATCTTTTAAAATTTCTTTCAACAGTGTTCTGTTGATTTCAGTGTATACACCTTGAATCTTAACTTCTCCCTGAAAGAGTTTACATTTTCCAGATGGTGATAGTTATCATTTCATTGGGTTATATACATTATTAAATGGCACTGAGACTTTTTATTATACTTACCTATTTTATATGGCCAATTCTAATCTAGGTTTAAAGTACTCATCAGCAGTGTTAATGTAAAAAATAAATGGCCAACATTAAAATTTTCTGTTGTTTCAGAATAGTTAATTGAACCTTGTCTCTAGAAACATGTCTACGTACAACAAATTTTTTGTGATTTTTGGGATTTAGGGCCTCAGTTTTAAGAGACTCCATGCCTATTTCCGTGTTGCTAACCTAGCCCCAGCATTTCAGAAAGATTTTATTGATTGTGGAAGTAAAGATGTATAAATATTTTTTCTTCTCTTCATATGTCAAAATTAAGATAACCTGTCCAGGTATTCCCCTTGAAGATATTTGTGTGACCCATTTCTGTTACCTTTGTAGTAGTTTTCATTATTACCTCACTTTATAGCTGCTGAATGCCTTTATTTAGGGTCTGTTGATCATCGGTATGGATGCCTTAGCTGGCAAAGTAGCTTCTTCTGCGCTTTTCATTTTTCCAACTTGTATAGACATAATTTAATTATATGTTTATTCTGGGAGGAGCAAGAAAAGGAGAGTAGATTCAGGGGGGAAAAGGCACTTTTCTTTCATGAAGGAGAAAAATTTCTGTTTTGGCCTAAGTAAGCCATTTCAGAGAGGAAGGAAAGTTCAGATGTTTCAGTTAAAGCAGAAGTGCAGATTCACTGTGGAAAAACTTCAGAGTGATATTCAAGGTACAGGTTCTCAATTTTTTCTGGATAAAAATTTATAAGTAAAATCTACCTGTGGATCACCTTAATATTGCATACATTAATTGTAGGAAATGCTGTGAATTTAGAGTATCATTTTGGTATCTAAACAGGATTTTCACCTCAATGCATTAGGATATGTAATGATCAGTCTATGAAATTTAATAACAGAAGCTCACTACATTCATAGTTTCTGTAATAACTGGATACAGGAAATTGAGAGAAGTGCTGAGACAAAGGGAAGCTAGTGAATTTCTAATACCTTTCTTATATGTAGGAATGGAGTTCTACAAGAGAAAAGATATCTTTTTCTTTTGCTGCCTGGCATTTACACACCTCACCCATCCTCATAACCTCCAGGAATACTGAGGGGTTTTTTTTGTTTTTTTTTTTTTCCCCTCGCTCTTGACCCTGCCAGTCTTTAAAACTCAGATGAGCTGTCCTTAATTCTTTTGTGTTTTCTTTGTCTAATTTTTTGTGACTATCATCAGGCAACCTGGGACTTGAACATCTCTTACCTAGAATTGCAAATTGGATCACATCTCCTTTATCGGAATCTTATGTTTTTCACAAAATGTTGTGTTGAAAGCTAGCTCCATCCGAGCTGGAAAAGATACAGACATTGCATCATGGAATTTAAGGCCTTAAAATATTACATTTCATGGGATGCCCTTTTATTTCTTCTAAAGCTCTTACTGAGCTTTTAGGACAGATATTTGCAGAGTATGTCCTATCCATTTCTTCTTTTTCTTTTCTGAGGAGTACAACTTTTTATCTGAATGAGCCCTCCTTGGTGAAACTGATGTTTCAAGTCAAGTTTCCACTACAGAGTATCCTGGCAATACAACCAGATGAACGATCAGTTTGCCCATTAATTTTGTTCTTTGTTTTGAATATGAATACACTAGAGCAGTCATGGGCTGGACGCAGTGGCTCACGACTATAATCCGAGCACTTTGGGAGGCCAAGGCTGGAGGATCACTTGAGGTCAGGAGTTCAAAATCAGCCTGGCCAACATTGTGAAATCCCATCTCTACTAAAAACACAAAAATTATCTGGTGTGGTGGCGCAGGCCTGTAGTTCCAGCTACTCAGGAGGCTGAGATGGGAGAATTGCTTGAACCCAGGAGGCGGAGGTTGCAGTGAGCTGAGATTACGCCGCTACACTCCATCTTGGGCAATGGAGCTAGATTCCATCTCAAAAAAAGCAGTTATGGCTACTTTAAAACATAAATGTACTAATTATAATTTGTTCAGTTATTCTACTGGAGTTTTGGGATTCCCCACTCTCCGTTAGTCAACTAGTGGAATAATAGCAATAGGAATAGCTAACATTTATTGACTGTTATACTCATTAGCCAGGCACATAAGTGCCAAGTACTTTACATGGATTATTTCTTTTCTCACATTGTGAAGTAGATATACAGTCATGTACTACATAACATTTCCATCAATGATGGACTGCATATATGATGATCCCATATGTTTAGATACACAGATATTTACCATTGTGTTACAGCTGCTTACAGTATTAGGTACAGTAACGTTGTACACTAGGAGCAATAAGCTATACCTTGTAGCCTAGGAGTGTAGTAGGCTATACTATCTAGGTTTGTGTAAGTACAAAACTAGTAATTTACATACAGAATTTTGGGAAGAAATCTGTGATAGTCACATAATGATGAAGTCACCTAATGACAGATTCTCAGAATTGATTCCCATTGTTAAGCAACGCATGACTGTATGTATTATCCATATCTTTCAGTCGAGGAAACCAAAGCTTAGAGAAGTTAAGGAAGTTATCAGAGAAAACACAGCTAGTGAGTAGTCCAGGCAATGTGGCTCGAGTTGGTGTGCTTAACCATTAAGCTGTAGTGCCTCCTTTACCAATGCTGACCATTAATCTCCTAAGAAATGTTGTAGGTCAGTTATCCTTAATTTCATTATTAGATGGACTCAAATTTTAGTTCAAGTTACTGGATTCTCAAGCTTTTAATGATAAAAGGAAAAATCCTGGGTTCCATGAGTATCCTAAAGGCTTCAAGAAATTGGTGGCCAAAACTTGTTTTAAAATGGCCAAGGGAACTAGGATATTCAGCCTAGGAAAAAGAATTCGAATGGAAGGTCTGACTGGCAGAAGAATTAGGTATGCTCTGTGTGCAGCTGAAAGACAGAACTTGGGCCAGCAGGTAAAATTTGTGGGGAAGTAGATGTTGGCTTACTTCTAGGGAACAGTTGTCAATATCTACAATACCGGGACATGAATAGAATTGCTTTCAGTTAAGATATGTTAGTTTCCTTGCATCAGCCAGTAGTGAACAATTATAACTAGACAACCTTGCCTACAGTATTATAAAGGTTTATGCTGTGTGTTATGAGATCTAGAGTGTGTAACATAAAAGCTGTCTTCTAACTTTGATTAGCTCTGTTTGGCTTCTTTGAAGCCTGTTGGCGTAGATTCTCCACTGAAGGGATTGAGGATCTTGAACTTTAAAAGTAATACAGGTACACAGAAATTTTCCGACGTCAAGAATTTGAGAACCATTATTTTATAGTAAACGTAAACTTTCTCAGTTTACAAAAATGTTGAATTTTCTCTATTATAATACTGAATTACATGGATTTTCTGTGCAGAAGAATATAATAGATGTTATGATGGCGACCAGTATTTTTGTAGTATCTCTGTTGACACTATTTTACATGCCTGATTGATAGAAGCTAGTTAAATATTCGAGTCAGAAATTAACTTTGAGACAGTGACAAGAATCTTAGCTCTTATTACTTTGAAGTTTATTTCAGATGTTTGAATTAGATAACTAGTAAAATGTTGGGAGGAAACTGAGTCTTTAAAGGACTCCTATTCACTGTCATATTATTGAACCCAGCACAGTGTCAGATACTCATTTAATCCATTATAGTACCTAATAGAGTATCTGACCTAACACATTGGTTTTTTTTTTTATTTTGCCTAAACATGTAAAAAAATCTTGTTATAAAATACCTTATGTAAAAAAAAATCATGCTATAAAATACCATATGTAAAAAAAAATCATGCTATAAAATGCCATATGTTAAAAAAAAAAAAAACATGTTTTAAAAAATTGTTGGTTTTTTTGTGTGTGTGTCTTTTTCAACATGGGGTCTGCCATCTTGCCCAGGCTGGTCTTGGGGCTCAAGTGATCCTCCCGCCTCGGCCTCTCGATGTGCTGAGATTACAGGCGTGAGCCACTGCACCCGGCCACAAAAATTGTTTAAAAGAGGAAAGCAGTATTCATAAGAACTAGAAAACTTAAGAATGCTGTAACATTTTTATTTTCAGGAATTAAAATAATTTAGAAGTGTTTTGATGTAAATTAATATGTTTAATCTGTCTGTTAAAAAATATAAGCATCACCTTATCAAATCCAAAACTTGATTACATCCCCAGCTTTTGCCTCAGTGGTTTTCCTGTTCAGATGATCTTATCTCCACCAATACTATCATCAGCACAACATTTTTTTTTCTTTTTCTTTGTCACCAATTGCAGGGGAGTAAAATGCCCCACAGATAAAGCAGTCGCCTCAAACACTTGTATTTCTTTAAGCAGCATTTGTTTCCTGATTCTAAATAACATTATACCTAATGGTAACATAAGTTATGTTTCTTAATAAGCTGTTGTATTACAATAAGCTTGTGAGTTGTGATAACTTAAGAAATGCCTACTTCTTGTAGGCATTTAATGATGTAAGTTTAGTGCCTGAATAAAAAGAAAACAGGTGCAGTAGGTAAAGTCAATATGAATATTAATTTTTCAGTTAGGGGGCAAAGGTCTTTTTTCTGATGTTATACTATGAATTTAAAAATTGGTGTAAAATTACTTGCTGTCTGACATTCTGCTTTAAAGGCAAGAGCAGGCTAATAGGTCATAGATTTGTATGTTGACATATTTTTGGATAGATTGTTTTATCTAGCTATTAAGCATTTATTGGGGTATCTACTGTAGTCAATGCTGGGTACTGTGGTAGGAGTTAGCCTCAAAGAAGAAGACTTGTGCCTCCCTGAATCCGTGGAGTCTTTGTCTCTTCTTTGACTTGGGACACTGTTGACTTAGTAAAAGATAAAAATCTTTTTTTTATTTTTTTTGAGACGGAGTCTCATCTAGGCTGGAATACAGTGGTATGATCTTGGCTCACTGCAGCCTCTGCCTCCTGGGTTCAAGCAATTCTCCTGCCTCAGCCTCCTGAGTAGCCGGGATTACAGGCACCCACCATCATGCCTGGCTAATTTTTGTATTTTTAGTAGAGATGGGTTTTTGCCATGTTGGCCAGGCTGGTCTCAAATTCCTGACCTCAAGTGATCCTCCTGCCTCGGCCTCCCAAAGTGCTGGGATTACAGGTGTGAGTCATTGTGCTTTGCTGGTAAAAATCTTTTAGCTGTAAATGTTGTGACTAATATTCTATACATGCGAGACATTTTAGATATTTTCATCTCTAAATCTGTTATCTAAGGGGGCTTTTTAGAAAATCATTGAAAGTTTAGCTTTGTTATCCAGGGAGGCTTTTTTGGTAATCTTTGGAAGTTCAAGCTTGCTTAAAAAGATGTCTTAAATGACATAGAAATATTTGCCCCATCCTTAAGCGGAAGTTCAACAGCCACTCTAAAAAGAGGAGCGGCATGGGGAGTACTTAAGGAAGGGAGTGCGGAGGGGAAGGGAGTTCTCTTAGGAATTTTCTTTTTTTAATAGCTTTCTTAGGATGGCTTAAAGATAGCTCCGTGTTTACTAGTTATGACAGTACTCTGCTGGGTCTAGCATGCATACAACTCCAGGATCCTTTTGCTGAGGGATCCAGAATGTGATCTCTCCAGTATGGTAGCCGCTAACTACATGTGGCTATTTATTTAACTTTAAATAAAATGTAAAATTCAGTTGCCTTAGCCACATTTCAAGTGCTCAATAGGTACACTTTGCTCATTGCTACCTTATTGCAGGGGCCCCCAAGCCCAGGTTTTTGGCCTCTTAAGAACTGGGCCCCACAGCAGGAGGTAGGCGGTGGGCAAGCGAGCCAGCATTACCGCCTGAGCTCCATCCACCTCCTGCACATGAGAGGGATCTAGGTTGTGTGCTCCTTATGAGAATCTAACTCATGCCTGACGATCTGAGGTGGAACAGTTTTATCCTGAAACCATCCCCCTGCCCTGTCCATGGAAAAATTGTCTTCCACAAAGCCAGTCCCTGGTGCTAAAAAGGTTGGGGACTAGTTCCTTATTGGACAGTGGAAATTTTGCCATGTCAGAAAGTCTTTCTTATTGGACAATGTAGGTCTAAAATATTGTCATCTCAAAGTTCTTTTGACAGTATGATCTAGATGACAGAATTATATGAGAAAGATATTAGAAGAGGCTTAGGTGTGGTGGTGAAGATTGGTGTAGGATTGAAAAGGATATTTTCTTAGCCAGTCTTCTAAGACTGTACATGGCACCAGCAGTTACATTTGGAACATTTCAGGCATTCTTTCACTTTTTGCTCACAGAATAAAATAAACAAATTCTGTAGTTTTATTTCAGGATTGTAAGGAGTTTCATGTTTGACTTTCAGGGTGATTTTGAAAAATAGTTTGTGAATTCACATCTCTTATCACACATTTGATTTCACTGTGCAGCTTTTAAGTCAAAGACTGAGCAAAATCTTATTTCTTTGTTTTAGTTCCTATTAATTGATTAAGCCTTTGAAGTTTTGAAACTTTTAAGCTCTTTAGATAGCTTGTTTACTTCACCAGTCCCCTAACCCTCACTCCACTTTAAAAAGAAGCAAATGACTGCTTTTTTGTTAGAGGGAAGTGCTATAATTCTTTAGTTTCTCACTCCACTTTAGACATGTAGAGTTAGGAAAAAAAACACAATGTAGCAATACTTTTGTATATGGATATGTGGTAAAGATTAATAAAATCTTATCATTTCCTTTTTACCTAAATGGAAATACTTTCTCATTTTTATAATATACTGATTTTAAAAAATAGACAAGAGAAAAATGAAAATGTGAAAGATCTCTCTTGATCTTAATGGGAATACTTTTATTGTATTACCTTTGAGTCTGATCATGGCTGTTTGTTTAAGTTATTAATGCCTTTTTAGCATACTAATAGTTCAAAGGAAGAAAACATGATTCTCTCCGTAGATGTCAAAAAGACATTTGATTTAACTTAAGCATTTTTGATAATTAAAAAAATCTCGTATTAAAATACAACTAGATATTTCAATAAATATAACAAATTATGTTAATAGATTTTTCTAATATTGAAGTGTTTACCTAATTGGTCACGGTGTATTACTATTTTAAAATGCGACTTGATTGTTACTGCTAATATTAGCTTTGAAAATAGATTGGTGGGTTTTTTTCTTATTGTATTGTCTTTTCAGATTTTAGTAGTATTAAAAAAATTGAGAAGCTGTTTTTACTCAGTTTTCGGCAACAATTTAAGGAGCATGGGAGTTACTTGGTCCTCAGGTTTCTTCTGTCTTGAAATCATTTGAGCCTGGTGCTTTTGGAGGATGTAATTCTTTGCAGCTTTCTTAAATTCTTCAATATAAGGGTTGATTTATTCTTATATTGAAGGGTTGATTTTCAAATTTGTCAGCATAGAGTTATATGCAGCATTTTAAAAAACTTTTGGTTGTGTGAAGTCTTTGTTTTCCTTAATTTTGTTTTATATATACTAATGTTTTATCCATTTTAATATTTTATTTCCAAAGAACTAATTATTTTGCTTTAAATAAGTTTTTCTAATTCAATTTCCTTTTATGATTATGAATTCCTTTCTCTTTTGAAGGATTACTGATACCCAAATGTTTTTTCTCCTTCAAATATGTTACTTGAAAGGAAATGAAGTGAGAAGTGAAAACTGCTTGTTTGTGGTGTAGGCTTCCTACTTCTATAAAATTGCAACACTGAGATGTAATAGGTAGTTGCTTAAGTAGAAACTATTAAGATTCCAGGATATGGCTGTGACTGACCAGTTGCCCCAGGCCATAGCTTTTCCTTCCTTTCCATATGGCTTTGTTGTAAGGGTATTTTGAAAGCATTGGTATGCAGTGTTTTTTTTTTTTAATAAAACTTTCCCATTTAGGATCTTTCAGCATCCTCAGCTGATGCTTTGCCAACTTAATTTATACTAACATCACACAAGATTGCTTGCATATAAATCATACTTTTCTACTTAGATATCTTAATAGTTCACAGTAAAATGAGTGGGTGGGTTTTAATAAAAATAACATTTTAGAATGTTTAAAAAGGTGAGAATATATAACTAAGCTATATTTAGTCACCATTAATCAACTAACACATTTCTATGTATTGAACTGTTTGTTTTGTGTTATATATATTTTCTTATAAAATATCTTTTTGTTTAAAACTAAATTTAAGCACTTGTTTTCCTTTGTAGGTATAAGCGTGTCTTTTCAGTTGGAACTCATGCGATTACTACATATAATCCCAATACCTTAGAAGTAACAAATCAGGTAATCCTGTTAGAAGCTGTTAGGTGTTTGTATGAACTCCCTTTGAATTTTAAAAGCCAGGCTGTGACCATTACCCTCCCTTAAATCAGTACTTGAAGATAGAAATGTCAAATCAGAAAGAGATTGATGTGCTTACATAATACTCTGATTTGGGGACCAAAAATAAATAATAAATAAACAGGAGGGGGAGAATATGCTTATTTCTAGGGCTCTCAAGGGTATAACTTGATGTTACTATTAGTTGTGGCCACCTCCTTTATGTAAAATTAGTAATTTAGTTCTCTATAATTTATAAAGGCTTATACTTTTTACTGTAACAAAAGCATATATAAGTCATGAGTCCAGTTAGTGTAAAATACTCGTCATGGGAGTAGGATTATGGGTTTATAAAGGCAAGAGTAACCTGAACATTTATAAGTAAACATATTCAAAGATATTCTGGCCTATTTTAATTCCAAATTAGGCATGTTTCACAAACTTTTTAACAAATTTTTAAGTAGTCATAAAATTTCACTTCCCAGTTCTTATCACTTTTTAATTTTAATTTCTTTGGATTAATGTCATCATTAAAATAGGAATACATATTGGATTTTTCTGACTAAAAACCTTTAAAAGAATTTTTTACAGAATTACTGTAAGACACAATTTCTAGACTCTATTTTATAAAATTTTGCTGATTTAATCAGTGATTATGAAATTAAAGTGACAAAAATAAGCATTACATTTTACTGTATTATAGTAGCACCAGTCAAAATTTTTTTTTTTTTAAGTGGCCTTATGGAGACATTTGCAGCATCAGCCCTGTTGGAAAAGGACAAGGAACGGAGTTCAACCTCACATTTCGTAAAGGCAGTGGAAAAAAGTCAGAAACTTTAAAATTTTCTACAGAGCACAGAACAGAACTTCTTACAGAAGCATTGGTAAGAAGATTCCATGTTCATAAATAAAATTTCTTTCTTCTCTTTTTAAAATGAAGTAGTTACATAGAAGTAGAGAAATTAATGTTCTCTGCCCCTGTACCCACTATGATTATTTTTTTCTTACTGACCTTTAACTTGACCCTGTGAAACGTTCACTTTTCTCTAACAGGCTGGAAAATCTTTTATATTTGCAAGTTTATTAGTTTTTTTTAATTGCATATGCAGGAGAAAGCATTGTATGTTTATCTTGTTCTTCAATAAGGTTTCATACTCTTTTTATTGAATATTCTTAAACTATAACTTGAATAACAGTTTTTAGTGTCCAGGTTACCAAGTCAGGATTTTACTTGCTTTGAGTAGAAGGGAGTGAGCCAAGTTTTCCTTACCAGTCTGTTGTCATAAACTGTGGTTATGTTTTCTCTTTCAGAGATTTAGAACTGATTTTTCAGAGGGAAAAATCACAGGAAGGGTAAATATTTAACATTTATTATGTATTTTTATTTGTTCAAATGTTGCCCTTTATTGTAGAAATCATTTCATAATCTGTGTGTTCCATTTGTAGCAAAGCTAAAGGGAAAAGAAACAAAATTGTAATGTCTCCTGATATCATGTTATGTAGTTTAACAGGAAACTCAAATATGAACAGTTAGATTTAAGAATGTTGATACTGGTAGATGGGGGGAAAAAAAGGCAAAAAAACCTTTGGAGCATTAAAAGCAACACTATAAGCATTCAGGTAGTCCTTATGCAGTATCCCAAACAGTAATACCAGAGAACGTCATACTGCTGATAGTGCATGTTGGAACATTCATTCATTGTTTGGTGTAGGAGTTTCTTATTTCAGAAATATTCAAGTTTTAAGATTTGAGCATACTGAAACTGTCTTCTTACATGTTCTTGGACTGGATCTGGCCTGTACTGAAGCTTGGCATGGTGCACTGACAGCTTTGGAGGAAGCTGTGGTGGCATATCAGAGTCGTCTTAACTTTCCCAGGCCTTTTCCAGTAATGTAACAGCAGCATTTAAACTAAATCAGAGACTTCTGGGAAAGAGGAACAGGAGTGTAACCTTTTTTCACTCTCTTGAGATATTAAATTTCTTCCCATTAGCAAGTATTACTTTTATAATGGAGAAAAATAATGCTTAAATTTATAGCACTGTTCAGAACCCTAGCTTCTGGCAAAAGGCAGGAACTGAATTCTGATATGCGGGCAGCACCATTCTCCTGTCTGTCTTAAGCCCTCATTCATAGAATATTTCTATGAATATTCTGCTACTTTTTTTAGCATCCCAGAAACCTCACTAATTTCAACTCTAGCAATTGGCTGGTTGCCCAGCAGCGTTTAAAAATAGTTTAATGGCAACTGGCGAGCTGCTTATTTCTTGTTCCTGATGAGCCATGGTCAAATTTTTATAAATCATAACTTGGTGTGCTTATTTTAATTATTCTATATTGTCAGGTGACGTACCTCATCTGTTTGGGAAACAACTGCTTTCAAAAGCATACTTAGAATTTTTATATAAGCTGTCTTTTGTACCAGTTAACTTCAGCCATTTAATACTTTTCAAAATCTTGTGGTAGAAACAGTACCTCTAGAAGATTGCCCAAAGGATAGTTTACCTGATTTTACATCAGGAGTAAGGGGCTCAAAGTGACACCTGTATTGTCCTAATAACAAGTTTAGATTCCACCCCAAATACTGTGCTGGCTAAACGGCACTCTTCTTGCCTAAGTTGAATTTGGCTCTAAGACCTCCATTTGCCCTAGATATACTTCTAAATCAGGGTTTCTCAAAAGTCCTTCTTGGTTGGCCCCTGCAATCCTGAGGGATAATGATGCTTCCATCAGCACATCTCATTAATGGCAGTTGTTTATGAGCTGGGAGGAATGGAGAATATCCTATATAGTGGTCTTGAGGCATGTAAACAAGTATAGTTTGGAAAGCTCCACAATTTTTGTGCCCTGCCTTCTCCCATTCCTGCAGCAGAGGTGTGGCATTGACTGATCTTTTGGTTCAGAATCAAGGTTCTGTATTCTTGGATTAGTGCAGGCCCCTTTGTCTGTCTGCATAATTACTTTTATGGAACTATGTGTGTGTTCGATGCATAGATCAGTAATGTTGAGGAGACTTGATGTCCTGTGAAAGTCATTGCTGACTTCAGTGTTGGGATATTAGTGGAGGTGTTCATTACTTAGTGCTTCACTCTCTTTTCTGAAAACCTAGAAGATAATTTCTTATTTCAGTATCAGAAATAGTTGTACTCCAGAGCAACCAATTGATTTTTACATTAAAAATTGTAATTGACCATGTATCCCACTTTATATTGATGGGTAGAAAACTGCGGTGTTTGGGTGGGGGAGAGGATACTCATTTCACATCTGAAACTTTGTTATCCTTATTTTCTCTTTGCTTCAGTTTTCTATTATTTTAAATTTATTTTCTTCTTCCGTATCGCATCATTTTGCTTAGCAGCCTTGATTAAACCTTTTTTCTTTTTAAAGACTGAAACTGGATAGTAAATGGATATTGACTATTCTAATAATTTCTGACACTCAGCTACTTTAATTTGTGAAGGAATATTATCTAAATGGAATTTTACTTGCTAATATGATCAAACATCTTGAAGATAACTTTCCAGTTGTGTGATTAGAAAAGCCTAAGGTCAAATACAGGCCTCAGCTTTTTTTTTTTGTATGTGGAAATAAAATATACATTAATATACTGAGGCGGTTCAGGTTGTTTAAATTGAATATTACAACTTCCCTGAAATGTGACTTAGCTCTTTTCATTATTGAACTTGGATTAAAAGAATCCATCAAAGAAAGTAGATCTTTTTTCCAGTAAAACTCTTTCAGAATACATTTCTATGTAGGATTTCCTCTTTTTTCTTTTTATAAATTTACATAGAGTGGCTTAAAATAGCTTCATAAAATATTGTAACCCAAACCCTTTGCTAATTAAAAAAGAATGTACTGTCTTCAGTTAGTGTGAACATTCTTAAACACCTCCAAATAGTTAAAATTAATCATAGTTTTAACAATTTGGATAGTAGCTCTAAATATTTACGATGACAGTTAGATTTTTGGTCGTTTCAATAGTGACTGTGATACATTAAATTTTATTTTATATGATTTTATTTTATGAACCTAAAAGTAATACTGATTCTGTCTTTAGAGATACAACTGCTATAAGCATCACTGGAGTGACTCAAGAAAACCTGTAATTTTGGAAGTAACTCCAGGAGGCTTTGACCAAATTAATCCTGCAACCAACAGAGTACTCTGTTCCTATGACTATAGAAATATTGAAGGATTTGTAGATCTCTCAGATTATCAAGGAGGATTTTGTATACTTTATGGAGGATTTAGTAGATTGGTAAGTACTATTTTAAAAAAAAAAAACACTTTAAAAGGGTCATGACCATTTGAAGGAAAGCAAAGCTTTTTATACTTCATTTTGAAATTTCACGTGAGTCCTCTGGAAGGAAGTATAATAGTCCAGGTTTTGGTATCAAAGATACCTGAGCTTGAATCCCAGTTTGCTGCTTTCCAAAATGAGGAGAGTGAGGATCTGGTGAGATAATTTATGTAAAATGCTTTACACACAATGGATGGCTTAGTACGGTAAACAGTGACTACAGTTGTTATTTTCATTGGTATTACTGTCTTACCAAAAAGTTTCTAAGCTTTCTTTGAAAAAGTAATTTAAGCCTGGCATGGCAGCTCACACCTATAATCCCAGCACTTAGGGAGGCAGAGTTAGGAGGATAGCTTGAGCCCAGGAGTTTGAGACCTGCCTGGCAACATAGTGAGACCTTGTTCTGCACAAAAAGGAAAAAAAAATGAAAAAAGTAATTTAAAATCACTTACTTTTTGAGAATCTTTCATCCTTTGCCTGGCTGTTTATAATCTGAAATCTGAGTATGCATTGAAACTTCAATCTGGAATTCATTGCGTGTTTTTGTTCTGAAATTCAGAATTATATATAAGTAAATTATGGGGTATAACAGAAGCTACTTAAGGTGCTGAGAACCCTGTTAATCAGTAATAGAAGCTGAAGTATATATAACTATTTTTTTTTAAGATACATCCTGCCTTTCTGTCTCAAAGATGTGCGGTAGAGAAAGTCTCCAAATGGAGAGACTCATTTGAACTTAATTGCAAAATTCCTTTCTCTTGAAAATTTTAATTCTTGTAGCTACCTTAGTGTTCCGGGAATGCTCCTTCAATTTTTAGTGTTTTGTAGATAAAATATCGTTCTGTTGGTAGCAGAGCCAAAGCAAGCGTTGAACTTTTACATATATAAGATAGTAGATGTTAGCAAAAGGGAAATAAACAATGATGGGGGCTAGATAATCTGATGTAGAAATATAGTTGGTTCTTCAGAGTTACAGGCCTTTTTCCATCTTAGATTTTACTCTTTCCCCACTTGATGGGTACCATCCTAGTTTCCCTCATCTAGGAACATACAGGTAAACCTCTGTGTGTTACCTCTGAGGCTTGACCCAAAAGATGAAGGCCCTTCTCCCAGCCCAAAGCCTGCTGTCTTAGTGCTATCCATAGACTGTCTCTTCCCTGGTCAGTGGTAATTTGGAATGTTTAACATCTTGTTGGTAAAGATACCTGATTACAAGAATATGGCCTGTCAGGCCTTAATAGGATAACTGTATCACAGTAATTCAACCAAGCCATAAAATGGAATAATAAGGTAAACGTTAAGGATGAAAATTGTTTCATACTCTTCTTATTGCCAACATTTTGTATTACTTGGGGGCAGCAAGAAGTTTTCATTTGAATTAATCCACTTTCTCACTGTAAGACACTAGCTAAAATGAATCAATTCACTATAAATATGGTACTATACCAGATTTATTCAACAAACCTTTATCTAATACCTTTTGCATCTATGGTGACTATAAAAAGCTGCTAGGAATAAAACCAGGTTCTTAAACACGATGTGATCCAGTGTTTCTCAGCAGGGGAGCTGTTGACATTCTGAGGAGGACAATTCTTTCTTGTGTGGGACACTCCTACTCTGCCCTTTACAGGACATTGAGCATTTCTGGCCTCTAGACACCAAATGCAAGTTCAGGTTGAGCATACCAAATCTGGAAGTTCAAAATGTTCCAAAATCGGAAACTTTTTGAGTGCCAACATGATGCTTAAAGGAAATGCTTGTTGGGGCATTTCAGATTTGGGATTTTCAGATTTGGGATGCTCAACTGGTAAGTGTAATGAAAATATTCCAAATGCTGAAAAACTCTGAAGTCTGAAATAGTTCTGATCCCAAGCATTTCAAATAACAGATACTCATCCTGTAGCCTGTTCCCTTACCTTTGTAAATAGAGCCCAGAAAGTTGGTTTGTAACATCGGTAGGCCAATGACTTGTAAACATTTAAACATTCTTCAGCATCATCTTGCAAAGAAGCCTACTGTGTAAAACAGATTAAATCAGAGCTGCGTTGTTTGAAACTGGGAATCCTGCCCACACAGTACCCATCACCCCCAGTGGCTTGGCTGGGGTTCCTTGGAGGCCCTTCTTGGAAGACCCAGCATGCTGTTTTGCACAAGGTGATGAGAACCAGAACCTGAGAAATTTTGAGATAATTGCCGTTCAGTGAGTTAGTTGCAAAGCTCTGTATCCCAGACTTTATTATTTTAATTTAGTAATAGTCTTTTCATTGAAACAACTGCTTATTTGCCTCTAATACCTACCTCTTTTTTCTCTAGAATTGCTACTTTAATACCTTTCCTATGAGTTGATTAGCTACAGACACATTTCAGTTGTTTCAACTCTGACTTTTTAAATTTCTAAATTTGTGCAGCATTTATTTGCGTCAGAGCAAAGAGAAGAGATTATTAAAAGTGCAATAGACCATGCTGGTAACTACATAGGTATTTCATTGCGGATCAGGAAAGAGCCTTTAGAATTCGAGCAATATTTGAATCTTCGCTTTGGAAAATACAGCACTGATGAATCCATCACATCTTTAGCAGAGTTTGTAGTCCAAAAAATATCACCTAGACATTCGGTAAGACCCATATGTTAAAAATGAAAATTTGTTCACCTGATTTTGACGTTTTAAAAAATAACTTCTTAATATGTCTCAATTTTATTTTTTGAAGGAGCCTGTTAAAAGAGTTCTAGCACTTACAGAAACATGTTTAGTAGAACGTGATCCGGCAACCTATAATATTGCAACATTGAAGCCTTTAGGAGAAGTAAGTTTCAGCATTGTTAGCTTAAATGAGATTTCTTTCTATTGATAAATTAGGATAATTTTCTTTCTATTTTAATGTTTACTCATGGCTAAAGAATATGGAATGGACAGAATCTGTATTTAACTCTTAACATATTTATATTAATTGATCATAGAACAATGATTATTACAAAAGTTATTTTCCAAGTATATAAAGAATGGAACTTATTACTCAACTGAAAATTTGAGATTTTAAAGTTTTAAACTCTTATATTGTAAACAAGTCACATCTTAAAATACTGACTTTTGTAAGCTAAGTGATGCATTTTATAATGAAATACTATAAAACTATAAACTTTTTTTTGTTGAAGCTATTTTTTGTTTTTTCATTAGGTATTTGCGTTGGTCTGTGACTCAGAAAATCCACAACTTTTTACCATTGAATTTATAAAAGGGCAAGTACGGAAATATTCTTCAACAGAGAGGTATTTTTTTTTTTTTAAGTTTTTGAAATCCTAGTTGTGCAAGGCAAAGTGCTTGGTCAACAAGGAAAACCAAAGATATGTAGTCTAGAAATTTAAAATCATTTAATTTGGGAAAAGACATTTTCTTGCATATTTAAAATGACCCTCCCATTTTCAATTTTTTTTTTTTTTTTTTTTTTTTTGAGACAGAGTCTCACTGTGTCACTCAGGCTGGAGTGCTATGGCGTGATCTTGGCTCACTGCAACCTCCATCTCCCGGGTTCAAGCAATTCTCCTGCCGCAGCCTCACAAGTAGCTGGGATTACAGGTGTGCGCCACCACGCCCAGCTAATTTTTTTCTTTTTTTCTTTTTTTGTATTTTTAGTAGAGATGGGGTTTCGCCGTCTTGGCCAGGCTGGTCTCGAACTCCTGACCTCAAGTGATCCGCCTGCCTTGACCTCCCAAAGTGCTGGGATTATAGGCATGAGCCACCACACCTGGCCTATAACTAGTGTTTTTATAGTATTTCCAGTAGTATAGTATGACCAATAGCTGTTTCTTGCCTTACAAAGCTTTCAGTCTAAGGTCAACAAGACTGAAATGTTAAGCAATGGTTATGTTTTTTTCCTGTCCTGAATTCAATGGAAAAGAACACCTTAAAAAAAAAAAGTATGGATGTTCTAATCAGAGGAAGGATCTTAACACTCTGTTTGTGAGATGCTTTATGTACGTTATCTTGCTTTGTCCTGACAGTAGCCGTAGGAAGAAGGTCCTCTTATTCCCAATAACACTTACATGCAGAAAGTAAAGCAACTTCTTTGTGACTTGGGGTTAAGAAAAGATTTCCCAGATGTAATACCAAAAACAATCTAGAAAAGAAGAAAAAAAGGTTGTTAGTTAGACTTCATTAAAATTTAGAACTTTGACACCATTTAGAAAAAGAAAAGACAGATCGCAGGGAGAAAATCTTTGCAAAGCATATAGCTAATAAAGGTTTTCTATCCAGAATATATACAGAACTCTTACAACTCAATACTGAAAAAAACCAAGCGACCCAATAGTAAATGGGCAAAAGATTGAAATAGACACCTCACTGGAAAAATATGAATGTTAATACATGAAAAGATCATGAATCTTTAGGAAATGAAAATGCAAACTACTACATATTCACTAACATGACTAACATCAAAAAGACTGCCAGTGGCAGGTGTTGGCGAGGATATGGAGAAAAGAACTCTCATACATTGCTGGTAAGAAGGTAAAATGATAAAACCAGTTTGAAAAACAGTTTGATAATTTCTTAAAAGATTAAACACATACTTATATGGTCTAGCAGTTCCACTTTTAGGTATCTATCCAAGAGAGATGAAAAGATGCCCACAGAGAGACTTGCACATGAATGTTCGTAATATCATTACTCATAGCCAAAAACAGAAGCAATCCATATCTAGATCAGCCAGTGAATAAACAGACAAAATGTTGCCTGTTCATACAATGGAATACTACTCAGCAATAAAAAAGGACTGACCTAATACATGCAACAACTTGGATGAATCTCAAAAGCCTATGTATGATAAGTAAAATAAGCAAGACACCTAAGACTACATATTCTATAATTCTGTTTTTATGAAGTTTCTTTAAAAAGCAAAACTATAGAGATAGATCAGTGGTTTCCTGGGGCTGGGGAGTGTTCTTTTGCAAATGGGCACAAGGAAATTTTTTGGAGTGATGAAAATATATCAGAACTGATGATGATTATACAGTTGTATAAATTTATTAAAAATTATCAAACTGTACGTTTTAATTGGATGACTTGTGATTTGTCAATTAGAACCGAGTAAAGCTGTTAAAAATAATTTTAAAGGGAGAGAAAGAGAAATTAAAATTAGTGTTTAAGTAACTTGTACAAGGTCATGTAGCAGCACGGTGAAGAGCTAGTATTAGAGCTCTTCCTAAAGCCCCACTGTTTGTGTTTCCCATTGTAACTGTAGTGTGTCCCTGAGCAGATTACCTGCTAAAGGGCCTATGCTTCATGCTAGATCAAAATTCCCCTTAATCATCAATGCTAAAACCTTTTTTTACTTTTAATCTTACTTAGAGATTCCTTATTAGCAAGTTTGCTGGATGGAGTAAGAGCCTCTGGTAATAGAGATGTTTGTGTAAAAATGACACCAACCCATAAAGGTCAGCGATGGGGGTTACTCAGCATGCCTGTTGATGAGGAAGTAGAGAGCCTTCACCTCAGGTTCTTAGCTACGCCTCCAAGTAAGTATTGATTTAAATGTAATTACATTTCCACTCATCTACTTAATTTAAGAATTAGGAATTCGTATCTTCTTTTTGAACCTCTTAATCTCTTTACAGATGGCAACTTTGCAGATGCTGTATTCAGGTTCAATGCTAATATTTCATACAGTGGAGTCCTACATGCAGTAACACAAGATGTAAGCTAAGTTTTATCATAATTGTTCATTGTTACTAACTTTTGGTATGGAAACTTTTTTGAAATACTCTTTCTTCACCTAGGGTCTCTTCTCAGAAAACAAAGAAAAACTGATCAATAATGCCATAACAGCATTACTGTCCCAAGAAGGGGATGTCGTTGCTTCAAATGCGGAACTTGAGAGTCAGTTCCAGGCTGTGAGGAGGCTTGTGGCATCCAAAGCTGGTTTCCTGGCTTTCACTCAGCTTCCAAAGTAAGTTGTCTTCTGAAACTTAACTTCTCTTAGAGAATTTGAACTACTCAAAATGGCAAATAATGAACGATTCACCTCCTTTTCCTTGACTAAACCAGATACCTTTTATAGGGTGATATGGTACTTTATTCATGAGAAATGAAAAAGGAAGGTGAGGGCAGCAGAAGCGGAATATTGGTCCCATACTCACCAGTAATATAACTGACTCTTGAATTTGAATGGGAAATTACATGCCTTTTAGTTTTAGTTAACCCTAAAAAATATTTTCCCTCTCAAAGAAAAAACTATTATGAAGACTGATAAATTTCAGAGGTGGAATTTAAAATACGTCATTGTTCCAGTAGTGCAATGGAAAGTTAATATGATCTATTTCAATAATATAACAATTTAAAATGTTCTGGTATTGCTAGTATATGCTTGTTTTTTGTTCCAAAAGGTTTCGCGAGCGTCTAGGGGTGAAGGTAGTAAAAGCACTCAAAAGAAGCAACAACGGAATAATCCATGCAGCAGTTGATATGCTTTGTGCCCTTATGTGTGTAAGTAGTAGTTTTCTTAAGGAAACTGGTTTTTCTTAAGTTGACTGGTGGTTTTGATTTCCACAGTCCCAGATTTTCATTGTACCAATAAGTTCTTGTTTCTGTTTCATAAATTGTTCTCATAGTTACTCAAACCTTTGTTTAGCATATCCTAAATACCAGGCAATGTGCTGTGTGCCAGAAATTCAAAGATCTTAAGACAGAAGTTCTTTTCTTCCTCACTTTGTTGACAGTCTGGTAAGGTAGGCATATCTGTACAAGGTAAGGTAGTAGGGGCCATAGGATCTTGAAAAGCAGCACTTTATTTTTGTTTGGTGATGAGGGGAAGATGAAAGATTCTCACCCAGTCTTTCTGGAAGATGTTACATTTGATCTGAATCTTGAAGGACAGGCAGGAATTTTCTAGCTCTGGAAAGGCCTTCCTGGGTGGGGAATAGCATATAAAAAGGCATGTTTGGAAAGCAACAAATAATTAAATATGGTTGGGTTATAAGGTATGGATGGGGGGTAATTAGGAGTTGCAGCTAGAGATGTATGCAGACAGTAATAAAAAACCTTCTGTATCAGGAGGGAGGAGCTAGATTTTTATCTTTTTGTAAGGAACACCTGAAGGATTTTTTTTAGCAAGAGAGCAGTAATGTGATCAGGTTTGAGTTTTTAAAAACCCACACTGGTAGTATGTGGAGAATAGAAGTAAAATTAGAGGCAGGTAGACCAAATTGTCACGTAAGAAATGAGTTGCTGAGCTAGGGTAGTCACAGGGCTAAAGAAGCAGCACACCTGAAAGCTGTTTGCGCAGTAAAGATCTAACTTAGTGGCAGCTTGTACAGAGGGAGAAACAATTGTTTAGTACAGTTTTGAAGTTTCTGATTATCTCAGTTTTGTGTGTAGTACCTGGGACTTTTCCTTATATAAAGTGTTTTAGGCAAGCTTAGTCGTACATAAACATAAGTAAATACTTCTGTAAAACCTTGCATTCCCAAAAGCAAATTAATTTTATTTACTGTTCCAAACAAGTAGTGAGATAACTAGAACTTAACAATGATATGGAGAGTTGCTTTATTCGAACAAAAGATGTTCCTATTACCCAGGAAATTCTAATGGTAGAGAGCTTTGTGTCAGGCTCCCCTATCAGGAAATTGCAAAGTTCTTAGGAGCTCTGTGTCAGGAACCAGGGTAAAAGACTGTTGCAACAAAAGATTCTGCTAGTGCCCCTGTCTGCAAGGGTTTTAGGTGCTCTATGTCAGGAGCCAAGGATGGAGACCAATGTATATATTTTTTAATATTTCATGTATTCTCCCTGCTCAGAATTCTTTCCCTGCTTATTCATTAAGAGCTCAAGTCAGCTTTTAAATGAAGCTTACCAAATATACACACCTACTATGTACCCACAACAATTAAAATAAAATTTTAAAAATAAATGGAGCTTTCTTATTCCTGAAGGTGGTAGTGATGTATCCCTCCCTGAAGTGAGATTACCCTTCATAAATATTACACTTGTCTTTCTTAGCAATTTCTTCTTTGAATTATTGCTATTTCTAAACATGATGTATTTTTCTCAATCTGTCAGCTTCCTGAGGATAATATTCATGTTTAATTTTAATTTTTATCCTTAACAGGCCTTGTCAAGCTGTTTAATAAATAATGATTAATTTTTTTCTGTGTTTCAGGTACTATTCTATGAATTTTTCATATATTATTCAGTCTTCCAATGAACTTTAGAAGTTATTACTGTTATATCTATTTTGTAGAGAAGGACTTAAGGCCCAAGTAACTTGTTCAAGGTCATGTAGCTAGTAAATGGCAGAGGAGGCTTCAAGCCCACTTTCTGGCTCCAAAGTTTATACAATTAACCATAGTAACATACAGTATTTGCTAAATGAGCAGAAACAAAAAGGAAGGAAATTCTGACACGTTTTGCAACATGGATGAACCTTGAGAACATGATGCTAGTGAAAGAAGTCAGTCACAAAAGGATAAATATTGTATGATTTTAATTATATGAGGTCAAATTCACAGAAAGTAGAATGGTGGTTGCCAGGGGCTTGGGAGGAAGGCAGAATGGGGAATTATTGTTTAATGATTACAGAGTTTCAGTTTGGGAAAATGAAAAAAGTTCTAGCGATGGGTGGTGGTGATGGTTGCCCAACAATGTGAATGCTTAATGCCACTGAACAGTGTAATTTAAAATGGTTAAGATGGTAACTTTTGTTATATGTAGTTTACCACAATAAAAAAAAGTAAGAAACAATGCTATGAAACAAACATTGAGCCCTCATTACATATTAGGTGTTGGCTTTGTATCTTACATGAATTATCTCATCTAAGCATCATAGTAATGTTACATAAATACTATTACTCCTACTTTACAGCTGAGGAAAATGAAACTTAGAGACTTATGTAAAGTAACTTACCTTGCGTAACGTCTCCCAGTTATTGTCAGTAGTAAAATTAGGATTGGAGCTCTACTCCTAACCATCACGCTGGAATGTTTTATACACTCAAAAGAAAATCACCCTGAGACAAGTATTTGTTGTTAATTTTAGTACATTTAAATGCTAAGTTTTATTTCAAATTTTAGTTATAAAATTCTGGGTGGGCAAATGTTTGCCTTTTAATAAGATCTGTGACTTTTGAGAGAGTACCTTTTGTATATGTTGAGTTAATTGTTGGGCAAATTATCTGTGAAGTCTGATCAAAATCATGGTAAATCGTCACTTCTGCCTGCTTATCACGAGTTTCCTTTTTGCCTTACACTTTAAAGGCAATGGTTTTTAATTCTTTCAATGTGTAATGAATACTGTTTATAAATGACTTTTGCGTGATGCTAGCACATGGGACTGCTTATGAATTATCACTGTTTTTTTTTTTTCATCAATAGCCCATGCATGATGACTATGACTTAAGACAAGAACAGTTGAACAAAGCTTCTCTTCTCTCGTCAAAGAAGTTTCTGGAAAACTTACTGGAGAAATTTAATTCCCATGTGGTAAGTTATAATTAAATTTGTCTTCATGGTAGATACCATACCATTATTGAAAGATATTCTAGAAGTGCCACGTGGATGATTTTTTTTTTTTTTATTGTAGCCCCCAGCTTTGGTCAGTATTGGTCACAGTTCAGCTTGGTCACTGATAATAAAATATTTTGTCTTAGGACTATATCCATTCACCTGGGAAGGATAGATGTCAAAGCCTTTAGATTTTCACAGGGATACTCCAAATTTTTGTTTTTTCTTTCTTTAAAAATATCATTAGGAAATAAACTGCTCTAAAAAAAATTAAGCCAAATCTTTGTTCCTCAGTCCCTGATAACAATTTTGGAGATGGGCATTCTATAGCATCTTGAAGGAACATAAGCAGATTGCCAGAGTTTTGCAAATATTGTCAAATATTATTTTTTGCAAATATTAACCTTTGTTATACACATTTGAGAAGTCTTGGTTATACTCTTGAAATTTGAATTTTAATTGTTCCTTTTGAGGTATGATGGATAATGGATTCACTATATGAGCAAAAGCAAGTACTAAAGAGTCATCCAACTTTGAACCTCATGTTGAGAAATTAAAGTCAATGTTGATGTCTGACATATAGAATAACAGAAAGGAACACATTATTGTTAAAATTTAACTGAAGGTCCCCATCTCTTAAGTCTTTAAGAGAATCTGTTGCATTGTTTCAGGATCATGGGACTGGTGCCCTAGTTATTAGTTCGCTCTTGGACTTCCTTACCTTTGCCCTCTGTGCTCCATATAGTGAGACAACTGAAGGGCAGCAGTTTGATATGCTCTTGGAGATGGTAGCATCCAATGGAAGAACCCTTTTTAAACTTTTTCAGGTGAGAGCTTGTATTTTTCTTGTCAGATAACAGTGAATTTAAGGGAACCGCTTTTAGGATCACTGTTTCTAAGATAACATTTGCATACTTCTATAGCAGAGGTGTCCAGTCGTTTGGCTTTCCTGGGCCACACTGAAAGAAGAGTTGTCTTGGGCCACACATAAAATACACTAACACTAACAATATCTGATGACCTAAAAGAAAAAAAAATTGCAAAAATGTTTTTAAGAAAGTTTAAGATTTGTGTTGGGCTACACTCAAAGCCATCCTGGGTTAGCTTTGAATAAATATAAGCATCCATGTAGGCTGCGGGTTGGACAAGCTTGATCTATAATATTGACGAATAAATGCACCTAGTACATTATCATATTGGTACATTTTGAGTGTACAGATTTCTTGGTGTTTCATGTAGAGTCCCATTGATGGGTGTTCACTGCTGTTTTGACACTCTGCCCATTTTCTATATCTTGCTTTTTTATTTTATTTTATTTTATTTATTTTTTGAGGTGAAGGTCTTGTTCTGTTGCCCAGACTGGAGTGCGGTGATGCAATCACAGCTCACTGCAGCCTCAGCCTCCCAGGCTCAAGTAATCTTCCCACCTCAGTTGCTGAGTAGCTGGGACCACAGGCACATGCTACCA
This sequence comes from Homo sapiens, assembly GCF_000001405.40. NCBI lineage: Eukaryota > Metazoa > Chordata > Mammalia > Primates > Hominidae > Homo > Homo sapiens. The sequence continues at coordinate 132,461,847 of NC_000003.12, forward strand.
AACCCGGCTAATTTATTTATTTGTTTTGTAGAGACGGGGTCTCCCTTTGTTGCCCAGGCTGTTCTCATGCCCCTGAGCTTAAGCGATCCTCCTGCCTCAGCCTCCCAAAGTGCTGGGATTACAAACATGACCCACCACACCTGGCCTCCATTTTAGTAGTGAAAAACTCATTTTTCTGTGGTAGGCCCAAAGTTCCCTTTTCTTTACAAATTCCCAAATGATAAAATGAGCTTTAGCAGGGCTCTTCATAAACACTGGAAAACATTTGTTATTTTATACAGTACTATAGTACTTATTAGATACATGTATGTATATATGATGTTTATATTTTTATTATTTTAGTATCATTGATATGTATCATTCAAATAATTATAATTATTCAAATAGATGCCTTCTGTTTCCTACTAATGTAAATTCTTTGTTTATGTGTCTGTATCTCTAAGGCTATATTGTAAAAATACCTAAAATATTTAACCAAACTGACTTTGAGATGTATCCTTTACTAATTTTGTGGCTTATACCTTGTGTAAAAATGTATACCCTTCTTAAGAGTAACAGCTAAATGTGTTGGAATAAAATTCTTTTTTATTTTTTGATACTTTTTCCCCCTCACTTTAAAGCATCCTTCCATGGCAATAATAAAAGGAGCTGGGTTGGTTATGAAGGCAATAATAGAGGTGAGAGAACAATTTTGAAATTTTAACCTTACTTGAATGTTGATAGGCTGTTTTAATTGAAGTTGACAATATTGCCTTTCAGTCTTTTTGGGAAATAAACATTTCTCTGGGTAAGAAAAGTAATTTTAAATCTTTATTATAAATTAGTTTTAAACTTGTTACAGAAATAATCCTCAATAATAAAAGTTTTAATTTCATAGTGAAGTTGTAGAGCAAATAAATCTGTTACTGCATTATTTGTTTATTTTACTTACTTAAAAGTTAGCATTCTATCTGTTGCTCTTTTTTGGAAGGATAATGTTGACAGTGTTGAAGTCTTGAGATACTGAGCTTGTATAGAAATCTATTGATGGAGTTAGTTCATACCAAAATGATACCAAGTAAGAAAGGCAACAAAAAGTTCTTGATAAAGCATATTTGTAATTGAGCTCTAGAGATTGGAGCATGATCTTGTCGAAGATACTGCTTCTTTAAGATAGTTGCTTTATGCTTCTATATTTTTTAAAAGGTTGTAGCTATGAATGTCTGTTGCATACTATGATGATTACAATGACATCAGTCTAAATGGCTTTTGAATTCTTGTATTTTGTTGTCATAGAAGCAATTTGAATACAATTGAAGAAAGTCTCCTTTTACCAAAAAATTCATTTATTGTGCATAAGTATAGCACACAATTAATCACAGAATTAGTATGCCCTTAAGTAGCTGTAAATATATATAGGCATTGAACTGAATGGAACATCAAAGTTTATTTGCATTTTTAGTGTGCATATACAGCCAAAGGCTAATTTTCTCCCTTTAGCTAATGGGTTCTTTGCTCAATGTTAGCTTCCAAAGTGCCCATCTTTTACAGAGCTTGCGATAGCCAAGCCTCTCCTTTTTGTTGGCAGCTATACACAGAGGGAGTGAACCTAGTTTTAATATTAAGTTTAGCAAAGCATAGTTTATGAGGTAAATTTGTCTGGAAACATCTCAACCTTATTCCAAAGGTTTAAAAATTACCTGTGCTACTACTCACCTATTTTTTTTTGGGTGATTAGAAGATGCATTTTAAAAACTTCTATTACATACTGAATGTTTTTTTCATTTAAATATGTAAAATTAGTTTTTTAAAGTTTGGATAGCTTGTCCTGGATTGCCACCTTAGGGATCATCTTACCCTTTTTCCAAAGGAAGGTGATAAAGAAATTGCTACAAAAATGCAGGAGCTTGCCCTAAGTGAAGGTGCCTTACCTCGACACTTGCATACTGCGATGTTTACAATAAGCTCAGATCAAAGGATGCTTACAAATAGGTAGGTGATTTAATTCAATTTGCTGCAATTTAACTTCCTGTCTAGAGAATTGATTCAGATGTTACATAAAACTAAATGTGTTTGTATTACACAAATAATACATTTTCTTTTGATCCACCTAGTTCTTTTCCTTTCCTTACAGAAGGATTTTGCCCAAGTGATCACTGTCCCTGCCTATGGAAAACCTGGAGGGAAACACTGTTTACTTTTTTTCCCCGACCTATTATCAGGCCCTGACACCATAGTCATGGGACCAATATGGAAAAGGGTACTTAAAAGCTTATGGAACTAGAACCACATGCTCAGGTCTTTTCTCCTTATATCCCTGTGACCATCTTGCATGCACATGACCCCATGGGAAAACCTCACATAGTTGATTTTTAAATATCTTTGGTCAAATACTCTACTTTAAAAACCACAGAAAACCTTACATATCCAGCCTAAGCTAGACTTAACCTAAATCTCTTGTAATTAAATGATTCCCTTTTTCCTGATAGTCATTCAAATATAAACACATAAATTTATTCACTTATTCCACACTACATGAATTCCAGCCCTTTTTAACCCTCTTTGTGGTTTCTAACATGTGACCCTTTCAGCTATCTTAAGCATACTATATTATGACTCATATTAGTAAAAACAGTATCATAAATAGTTTTAATTTTATTTTTTGACTTTTTAAATAATAGCATAAGTTGCTGAGTTAAACGTTTAGTTTGTTACAATACTGTACATTTTCTTTGTCATCTATGTGCAGTTATTATACATCATGGTATGCTGCCTTGCCAGGGATTTTTTTTTTACTGTTTATACTATTAGAAGAAACTACCTCCCTCACTTGTGTTAAGAACAAAACTAGTCTTAGAGGATAAAGATAATAAGGATGTTTTCCTAGTATTGTCTTATTAGCAGTGCTAGACACCATCTTTCATTAGAGACTATTGATAGCTTATTCCATTAACCCCTCCCCATGTTAAATGCTTGCTTGTTGTGTTTCTCTTCAGTATAGTTAACCAGTTAAATTCCCTACTGTGATCAATTAGTGTATTAGGGAAGCATTTTAATTTGGAGAAAATTCCAAAAGGTTAGTAATATTTGAATTACACTGTTAAAGATCTGTCAATGTATAATAGAAATATCACTCTATTTGCATTGCTTTATCTTTTACAAATTGCTGTTATAAAATGTTATCTCTTTTGTCCCTAACTAAAGCCTTTTTAGGAGTCACTGATATGATAACCTACCAAATGCCAGTGAAGGAAATTACAAGTTTAATTACTTCAATATGTTAGCTTTCAAATTGGCACAGGAATGAACAGTTTTAGTGGCGTTCACTTTCTGGTGACAAAGTATATTTTGGGTTTTGCAGTTAAATTTTGTTCTTCAGTAATGTAACATATATAAAACATATGTTTGTGGGTGGTTATTTGGATATTTCCCTCATAGGTTTCATGACCATTCTTATAGCTATGGTAATTGAATCCCCACCAAAGCACAGAAGGGTCACTGGTGGGTAAAATAGGGTTTCTACTTATGAGGAGCTTTCAGTTAAGGTGACAGGTGTTGAATGGGGATTAAAATTAGTAAATGACTAAACCATAGATTGAACTTGGATCTTAGATTTTTACTTTGAATTAAAATATACTTTTATAGCTTTTAAGTGAGATGAGTTGAATAATTTGCTATAAGTGGTTTAGGTCTTTGCCCAAACTCTAGAAGTGAAAATAATTTTCTCTCTGATCTTGCCAAAACGGTTATATTAGAACAGTTGTTGACTTCTGCTTGTTCAGAATTCCAAAAAATGCCAGGATGCCATTGTCACTATATTAGTAGGACTGGTTAAACAAATTAATTGTGTCATCAAATCTAATTGTTTTTGTTGTTTTTTTTCTTCCTTTAAGTGGGATAAAAACCTACTTTTTTCCTGTTCGGGTTTATTGAAAATGAGTGTATGTTTATTAGGAAAACATTTTAATTTTTAGAAAATTCCAAAATATTAGTAATATTTGAATTATAACTCTCCACATTAAATTTTTTAATAACTATTTTTAACATCGGAATGATTTTTTTACTGTAGCCGTATTTTTTATAATTATGTGATATTTTGTTCTTAAAAATTCCTTTCTGTTCTAGCTGAGATAAAGCAGCAAACCTTTCTCAACGTCTGCTTTTTTCAGACAGCTAAGTAGACATTTAGTGGGACTCTGGACAGCTGATAATGCAACTGCAACAAACTTGTTGAAACGCATTTTGGTAAGTCAGTTGAGAAATTAGGTTATATACTGCCTAATAAAATTTAATTGAACAAGTTATCTGTACTGTTAAAAGGGGATGGTTTGTTTTTTATTGAAAAGTTATTTATCATAGGAGTTACCGTAAAGTTTTACCCTCAATAGCTAAGCCACAGTATTAATTTATTTGGGTTTTTAAGGCTAAATTTTCTTTTTCACATTGTTTTGAAAATGGATTTTGTGTTTTTAGCCGCCAGGCTTGCTGGCATACTTGGAAAGCTCAGATCTCGTACCTGAGAAGGATGCTGATCGGATGCATGTTAGAGACAATGTGAAAATAGCAATGGTAAATATGACTGTCCCAAGTGTGCCTTTTTTAGGAGTAAGGGTACTGTTATATATATGTCTTTTTTTGAAACACGTTAAAAATTTTAGAAACAAAGAATTCATTGCATTGAATAGTATACTTAACTATTGATATCTTTATTGAGGTAAAATTTACATCCCATAATATTCATCTTTTTAAGGTATACAATTAAATAATTTGTGGTATATTTACAGAGTTGTGCAGCTATCACCACAAATTAATGTTATGAATAGTGGTCATTTTATTCTGTGTTTTGTTTCTCTAATTCAACTTATTGGTACGTTCTGGAGTACCAGTAAGTGTGTAAATATGGTATTTTGCACATATGAGATTGATAAATGTTGTTGGTAAAAACGGCCAACCATGAAAAAAGTTATAGGTAGGGTTTTTTTCCTTACAAGATCTATGTTAATTATAAGGTTGGGCCATCCATGGAAAAATTAAACATCTTTATGATACACTACTATAATAATTTCTTACGTGTATTCTTTTTCTGTCATCACTCCTTCTCTGTCTGCACCCAGCTCCCACTTGCATCTTGCCACCCCTCATAAAAGAATCATCTTGAAACCTAAGTAGAAAAGTTAGTTTCTTGGATAAAAAGTATAATTGTAGAAGTTTTCAGTTTGTTTCTTCACTGAACCATAACATCCAGCATTAACCTTATAAAATAGATAGAATGACTCAGCTTTACATAGAGTTTTAAAATAAATTTGCAAACAGGCATGTAATGGATTCCAACATTATTTTACAGGATCAGTATGGAAAATTTAATAAAGTTCCAGAGTGGCAAAGACTAGCTGGAAAAGCTGCTAAAGAAGTTGAAAAATTTGCCAAAGAAAAAGTGGATCTTGTATTGATGCACTGGAGGGATAGGATGGGCATTGCTCAAAAAGAGGTAAAAATAAAATTTGCTTCCAAATTCCTGGCACTTCTGTGTGTCCTAGTCTACTTTAGTTCCTGCTGTTCACAGAGATGGTATCGATACATTTCTTGCTGAATACCTGAAGCTTAAAAATGAATGGTACCTAATTTCTTTCTTTTTTATTTTATTTATTTATTTATTTTGAGACAGAGCCTTGCTCTGTTGCACAGGCTGGAGTGCAGTGGAGCGATCTCGTCTCACTGCAAGCTCCGCCTCCTGGGTTCACGCCATTCTCCTGCCTCAGCCTCCCGAGTAGCTGGGACTACAGGCACCCGCCACCACGCCCGGCTAATTTTTTGTATTTTTAGTAGAGATGGGGTTTCACCGTGTTAGCCAGGATGGTCTCAATCTCCTGACCTCGTGATCCGCCTGCCTCAGCCTCCCAAAGTGCTGGGATTACAGGCGTGAGCCACCGCACCCGGCCGAATGGTACCTAATTTCTAATTCATATTTTTGTATACATTTTCCTTAGTTCATAGTTTTATGAGTTGATGATTAGGTTTTTATTTTGGTATTTAATATAGAATTCCACTCTTAATTTTTCTTCCATTCCAGTTTTTGTTCTTTTTTATTCATATGTATTTATTTTCTTCCCTTCTTCTCTGGACTTTGTTTTGCACCTATAAAAATAAAGGTGCTCTTCCTGTTAGCCTTTTTATTCAGAACTAGCCAGACAAGTGTTTTGGAGATTAAGATTCACATTTTAAATTCAATTTATTGTGCGTACTTAAATTTTGTAATATTTGTTTCTCAAATCAAAGTTAGATCTAAAACAGTTTTAGTCTCATTCTTCAGCATGCAGTGTGTTCTACAGAACCTGATTCAGTAATGCATTCTTCTATCTATAATGGGTTTGGCAGTGGTTGAGTATGAATTGAGATGTCCTGTAGAAGCAATCTTGATCTCAGTTTTTGTTGATCACACATACATTGTTTCTCCTTAATCTTCTCCTTACTTATGGTAGCTATTGCCATATTCAAGGAAAATAACTTTAATATCTTTCTAAAACAAGTGGGTTTCTTATGGATTACCAGAATACGTAAGCATAGCAGAACAAATATTATAGTCTTGTGTATCTATCTGAAATTGGGATCAATGTTCAATTCTTTAGAGCTCCAGAATAATAGATTACTGCTAATTTATATAAGTGATATATTCAATATAAAGAATCATTAGGCTTTCAAGTGACTATGTAGTATAGTAAAGAGAATACTGAACTTTGAGTTGGTTAACTTCTGAGCCTAGTTTCATCACTTGTTAATCCAAGTTACGGTTTTTAGAACCTTACTTTCCTCTTTCATAAATCGGAATAACAATACCTCCCTTCTCTATCTTATAGGGTTTTTTTGATATACAAGCAAAATAATAGTAAAGGCACTATATACATATATGGTCAGGATAATACTGGTATAGCATTTGAACAGTTGAAAAATCTACAGATATGAATGATTTTCACAGTTATTAAAAATTACAAGCTCCTGGCTTCAGGTAGTTAAACCGATTTCTAAAATAACAGTTCTTTCAAGCTGTTGAATATAATTATCATACTGTAGATAAGTTTTTGGCATCAGACTTCATATGTAACATTTATCCAGCATAAGCATGAACACAAAGCTCTAGTCTTAGCTAAAACTATGGATAAAAATCTGCTATTTTAAAACAATTGAGAGGGAAAAGGATATTTTTAATATAAAAGTTTTACTGGTTTGTTGGTATCATTTACATGGGGTATTACTAAAGTTTTGAGCAAATAATGATGCCAGATAAATGTTGGTCAAGAAGATCTTTTGGTTAGCATCAATGGCTTATCCCCTTTCTGCGTGGGTACTATTTTTAACAGTAATTTCTTTAGGGAACAGCAAATAATCTTTGTGACTATTTTATTAATAGAAACACTAACATCAAAGTTTGGAATGATCTTATGCTGTAGTTAGAGTCTGAAAACTAATCATTGTCAAGATTAACTGGCGATTCTTGAAACAATCTGCATTTCTTATATAGTCAATGTTTATGAAGTCAGTTCCATTTGCAGCTGATGCTCTGTGCTGGATTAGTAGTAACCTTTGGCTAATGTATAAGGTTGCTTTTTCTTTGTTATTTTCAGTTAAGGGATTTGTTTAGCTAGTTAGAGCTGTTAGCCTGAGTCTCCAATTCAGTCACTTAGTTTATGGAGAGCTTTTTGTCCTTTTTCTGTATAGCATTTACATTTTTATTACTCTGGACTGCCAGCCTTTTGTCCTGGCGGGGAGGAGGGATTGAAGAAAGTACTTCTTAATTAGAAAGTTTAGGAAAAGATTTGTCATTAAACCAAATTTTGAATTATTTATATATTTTATTCAAGCCACTTTGCATTAGTTTTCATGATAGTGCACAGAATTAAAATTTGTAGGAAACATTTTCTTATATAACTTTTAGGGTTTATATTTGAAATAATATCTTTTAAAATTTATTTTACCTTTTTTCTTTCTATGTCGTCTAGTCTGGGGTTTTTTTGCACTTTAATGAAATTACAGACTTCCGTGTTTTAATCTATACCACTTTCTACTTTTTGTTTCTATCACAATGAGGATTAGAGTTTTCATATCTGATGTATATACATGGGTTTCATTTGGAGCAGAGATTCTTTTTTTTTTTTTTTTTTTTTTTTTTTTTAATTTATTTTTTTATTGATAATTCTTGGGTGTTTCTCACAGAGGGGGATTTGGCAGGGTCATGGGACAATAGTGGAGGGAAGGTCAGCAGATAAACAAGTGAACAAAGGTCTCTGGTTTTCCTAGGCAGAGGACCCTGCGGCCTTCCGCAGTGTTTGTGTCCCTGATTACTTGAGATTAGGGATTGGTGATGACTCTTAACGAGCATGCTGTCTTCAAGCATCTGTTTAACAAAGCACATCTTGCACCGCCCTTAATCCATTTAACCCTGAGTGGACACAGCACATGTTTCAGAGAGCACAGGGTTGGGGGTAAGGTCACAGATCAACAGGATCCCAAGGCAGAGGAATTTTTCTTAGTGCAGAACAAAATGAAAAGTCTCCCATGTCTACTTCTTTCTACACAGACACGGCAACCATCCGATTTCTCAATCTTTTCCCCACCTTTCCTGCCTTTCTATTCCACAAAGCCGCCATTGTCATCCTGGCCCGTTCTCAATGAGCTGTTGGGCACACCTCCCAGACGGGGTGGTGGCCGGGCAGAGGGGCTCCTCACTTCCCAGTAGGGGCGGCCGGGCAGAGGCGCCCCTCACCTCCCGGACGGGGCGGCTGGCCGGGCGGGGGGGCTGACCCCCCCACCTCCCTCCCGGACGGGGCGGCTGGCCGGGCGGGGGGCCGACACCCCCACCTCCCTCCCGGACGGGGCGGCTGGCCGGGCAGAGGGGCTCCTCACTTCCCAGTAGGGGCGGCCGGGCAGAGGCGCCCCTCACCTCCCAGACGGGGCGGCTGGCCGGGCGGAGGGCTGACCCCCCCACCTCCCTCCTGGACAGGGCGGCTGGCCAGGCGGGGGGCTGATCCCCCCACCTCCCTCCCGGACAGGGCGGCCGGCCGGGCGGGGGGCTGACCCCCCCACCTCCCTCCCGGACGGGGCGGCTGGCCGGGCAGAGGGGCTCCTCACTTCCCAGTAGGGGCGGCCGGGCAGAGGCGCCCCTCACCTCCCGGACGGGGCGGCTGGCCGGGCGGAGGGCTGACCCCCCCACCTCCCTCCCGGACGGGGCGGCTGGCCAGGCGGGGGGCTTACCCCCCCACCTCCCTCCCGGACGGGGCGGCTGGCCGGGTGGGGGGGCTGACCCCCCCATCTCCCTCCTGGACGGGGTGGCTGGCCCGGCTGAGGGGCTCCTCACTTCCCAGTAGGGGCGGCCGGGCAGAGGCACCCCTCACCTCCCGGACGGGGCGGCTGGCCGGGCGGGGGGCTGACCCCCCCACCTCCCTCCCGGATGGCACGGCTGGCCGGTCGGGGGGGCTGACCCCCCACCTCCCTCCCGGACGGGGCGGCTGGCCGGGCGGGGGGTTGACCCCCCCCCACCTCCCTCCCGGACGGGGTGGCTGCCGGGCGGAGATGCTCCTCACTTCCCAGATGGGGTGGCTGCCGGGCGGAGAGGCTCCTCACTTCTCAGACGGGGCAGCTGCCAGGCGGAGGGGCTCCTCACTTCTCAGACGGGGTGGTTGCCAGGCAGAGGGTCTCCTCACTTCTCAGACGGGGCGGCCGGGCAGAGACGCTCCTCACCTCCCAGATGGGGTCTCGGCCGGGCAGAGGCACTCCTCACATCCCAGATGGGGCGGCAGGGCAGAGGCGCTCCCCACATCTCAGACGATGGGCGGCCGGGCAGAGACGCTCCTCACTTCCTAGATGTGATGGCGGCTGGGAAGAGGCGCTCCTCACTTCCTAGATGGGATGGCGGCCGGGCGGAGACGCTCCTCACTTTCCAGACTGGGCAGCCAGGCAGAGGGGCTCCTCACATCCCAGACGATGGGCGGCCAGGCAGAGACGGTCATCACTTCCCAGACGGGGTGGCGGCCGGGCAGAGGCTGCAATCTCGGCACTTTGGGAGGCCAAGGCAGGCGGCTGGGAGGTGTAGGTTGTAGTGAGCCGAGATCACGCCACTGCACTCCAGCCTGGGCACCATTGAGCACTGAGTGAACGAGACTCCGTCTGCAATCCCGGCACCTCGGGAGGCTGAGGTTGGCGGGATCACTCGCGGTTAGGGGCTGGAGACCGGCCCGGCCAACACAGCGAAACCCCGTCTCCACCAAAACCAGTCAGGCGTGGCGGCGCGTGCCTGCAATGGCAGGCACTCGGCAGGCTGAGGCAGGAGAATCAGGCAGGGAGGTTGCAGTGAGCCGAGATGGCAGCAGTACAGTCCAGCTTCGGCTCCGCATGAGAGGGAGACCGTGGGGAGAGGGAGACAGAGGGAGAGGGCTGGAGCAGAGATTCTTAACCTCTGGTCCATGTACAGACTTTAAGAATTCTTGAAATCTTCTCTTCCAGTTGCAGCCTTAAGTATGTGCCTATCTCTGAAACAGGGGCCATAGCTTTCTTTGAATTCTCAAAGGGTTTATGACTGCCTAAAATTTGAGTCACAGGCTTAGAGAAGCAGGTGCACCTATTTTAGTCTTAAAGTAAAGATAATTTTGTATTGATGTGTAATAGATATAATTTAGCAGATCTAGGCTCATTCTCTTTTTATTTTCTTTAACTTTTTTTCCTTTTTACGATTAAATTCAGGACAAAAACAATATGGTGAGTGTAAGTTCCTGCTACGTGTGTGAAATGCATTAAGCTGCCTGGCATGTGGAGTCATCTTTGATATTCTCTGTTTAATAAATTCAAGTCTTAACTTCACATGTGTTTGAATGTAGACACATTTCTTCTCCATTAGCTATTTCAATTTGTACTTGCTCCTCTTGGCTTTGGTAGCACTTTAACAACCTGTAATCTTTTGCATTTATTGTTGTCCCAAGGCTTTTGTGTTAACTGCATGTAAATGTTTGAAACAAGTCACTGTTTTTGACTATTTTAAATTTTATTAATCACTGTAAACTTTAACAAAATTTGGTGTTGAAACAGCTTTAGGCTACATGGAAAATACTTGAGTAACTATAGAAATATATGCTGTCAAATTATTATATGTGATATAATTTAATATCCTGTATTTATATTCATGTTTTATAGATTTTATTTATTCCGTTAATTTTTGTTTCTGTCAAAATTTGATGAAAGAAATGTTTCTCATCACGTATAAATTGATGATCTTCTGACTAAGCCTATTTGGTAGCCCCAGATTGAGCACTATGAAGTTTTTTTCTGTTCCAGAATATAAATCAGAAGCCAGTGGTTCTTCGAAAGAGAAGACAAAGAATAAAAATAGAAGCAAATTGGGATCTCTTCTATTATAGGTAAACTTTAGGTCTCTTTTCCAATAAAGATTAAATTTAGTATTGCCATGAGAGGCATCATGACACGTTCTTCTTCCCTGAAACTGTTGCTTTATGCCACATGTATTTTTATGCCATCAAGTTCAGGAACTATAACTGTTAAGATTGGGGTGACTAGAGATGCTCCTAAAATTAAGGCTTTTCATAGAGTGATAGTCTGAGGAACTAAAATTACATTAAAGACTTTATTAAGGCTTAGAGATGCTTATTTTAAAAATACTTCATTACAGGCTTAGAAATAATTGCATACTTCCTAGATGGAAATGGAGTCTTAAAAGAGGCAGATGATAACATAAGACTTGTGAGAAGTGAGTGTCCAAGTTAGCTGATAGGAGGACCTTCCCTCCTATCAAATGTGGTAACCTCTTCCCTCTTTTTATCTACCAATCTCACCCTTACCCTGCACCCCCTTCCTGGACACACACATACACACACACAGGACAGGGAAACAGTCATTTTGGGGAGTTTGCAAAGCTTCTTTAAGATAACTCACAGTACTCACTCTGGAAACTGACATTTCAATTATACCTTGGCCAATAAAGAAAAATATGTCCTTTGAAAACTCCCCCACACTACTTTTAAAGTATACAGTATGTACATAGTATATCCTTAAGTATATGCCTTGGATTTCTCTCTCAGTTGTGTTGCGCCCCATAGAACTTCCTTGGAACTCTGAAATGAGACTTTCTAGGAGGATTGCAGACTTGAAAGTAAGCATATGTGAAACCCATTCATCCCCAGTTAGACTTGTGCCCAAATGTTTTACAATAATTACTCCAAGCATATGAGGAAGATACTTTGAAAATGCTCAGTCATAGCTTGGCAGTTTGCAGTATTCTTTCTTGGGTAGTCTGTAAAGTCCTAACATATATAGATTGTTGCTGATTCCATATGCTTTACCCAGAAGTCCAGCAGTTCTTATCTCCCCAACCTAAAGTTTTGTATCTGACAAGAGAATTGTGGTGTTTTTTTTTGTTTGTTTTTTGTTTTTTGAGATGGAGTCTCACCCTGTCGCCCAGGCTGGAGTGCAATGGCGTGATTTTGGCTCACTGCAACCTCTGCCTCCCGAGTTCAAGCGACTCTCCAGCCTCAGCCTCACAAGTAGCTTGGATTATAGGCATGTGCCACCATACCCAGCTAATTTTTTGTATTTTTAGTAGAGATGGGGTTTCACCATGTTGGCCAGGGTGATCTCGAACGCCTGACCTCATGATCCTCCTGCCTCGGCCTCCCAAAGTGCTGAGATTACAGGTGGGAGCCACTGCGCCTGGCCAGTAGAATTGTTTTCTGACTGAAATTTGTATTAGCAATAAACATTGAAGTTGAAATATCAGGTGTTTTTTTTTTTAATTCACACAGATTTGTTTCATAGTTTAGGTTCCTTTTTTTCCTCAACTTTTTATTATGAAAACTTTCAAACATACAAAAGGTAAAAGAATTTTGCAGTGAATATCTGTATACCTACCACCAAGATTCTGTCATTAATGTTTTACTCTACTTCCTTTACACAGATTTTATTTTCTTTACTTACATTTGCTAAAATCTATTCCCCCCCCCCCCTTTTTTTTTTTTTTTTTTGCTTATTATAAGGTCAGTAAGGGATATTTATAGATTTTTTAAAATGCTTAGTGCATCCTGCTATTTCCTCATTATATGTATGTCTAGGTTTGGTCAAGACCATGCCAGGTCAAACCTTATTTGGAATTTCAAAACACGAGAAGAACTGAAAGATACTCTTGAATCTGAAATGAGAGCATTTAATATTGACAGAGAACTTGGAAGTGCAAATGTGATCTCCTGGAACCACCATGAGTTTGAGGTAAAGTTTGATTTTTCCAGTATATTAATCTTAAAAAATAAAGCATGTACTATTTGGGGAGTGATTTTTTTTAAAAAAATTTGTAATTACATATCTGGTCTTTACCTTTCCCCCTTTAATGTTATGTAGGAAATACTGGAAAACTTTAATCTGTGTGTCAGACAAAAATAAAAAAATTTTGTTTAGTAACTTAGCTTTGTACCTGAGAATCATGTAAGAATTTTAATAAATTTGATTCTGTGCATTCCAAATCTATTCTTTCCTTTTTTCTTTTTTTTTCCATTTCTGGGACCTTTGAGTTCTTTTTTCATTGAAACATACCCTGTTTGCCTTGTTCCTTGTAACTTGTTTGATTTTTTTTTGTGTTAATTGATTCTGAATGTGACCATATTTTGCTGTTCTATTAAAATATTGATGTGAAGAGCAGGAGAAACAAGAAAGATGGTGGTAGTAGGTAATTTTATACGTGTGGGTGTATATATAGTTGAAGTATATTATAAACATATACAATTTAAACTATTATAGCTTTAAATTTGAACATGTGAGTGATCCTGCGGGCTTTGATCTTTAACCCAGTTGCATTTCCATATTCCATTTGGATATGCTCATTCTTTTCTTAGCAAAATGAAAAACTTGTCTTTACTTTGTTTTGGGAGTCCGTATTCTGCTAGATTTTCTCCTTTTTCACTGTCTACCACTTCTCAAGTCATCTTTACTCATTTTGCTTCATCTCGCTGACCACTAAATGTTGGCTGGCTCCAAAGTTTCAGTTCTTTGACCTCGTTCATTTTTATTCATTGCCTCAATGAAATCATTAAGTTTCATGGCTTTAAATATTTTTATTTTATTTTATTTTTTATTTTTCTGAGACACGACCTTGCTTTATTGCATAGGCTAGACTGCAGTGGTGCCATCTTTGCTCACTGCAGCCTCTGCCTCATTGGCTCAAGCAATCCTTCCACCTTCGCCTCCCCAGTAGGTGGGACCAGAGGCTTGCACCACCATGCCTAGCTAATTTTTGTATTTTTTATGGAGACGAGGTTTCACCATGTTGCCCAGTCTGGCTTTTTATTTGCTGATAGCTTCCAGATTTTTATCTCTTGCTTCGACTTTTAGCCCTAGACTTCATACTTCTATCTCATAATTGGATATCTGATAAGTATCTAGAACTTTTCTCCAAAATTGTGCTCTTGTTCTTCCCGAGCCTACTTCTCTTACAGTCTTTATGATCTTAGATAATGACTACTCCTTATTTTCTAGTGAAAACCCTTGACATTACCTTTTATATCAAGTTTTTTAGCAAATTCCATACAGTGCACCTTCAAAATTTATTTAGACCTTCTTGCTTTTAGATTGCAACAATGTCACTGCTTCTACTCTTGCCTCCCTGGAATCTGTTATCAACATTGGAGGGTTACCTTGTTAAATAGCAAGCACATCATTTCTGTGCTCAAACCCTTGGTGCTCTTGTGGTTTCCCATCTCAGTTAAAATCTGAGTCCTTAAAATGACTTAAAACCAGCATCTGTGTAACCCCCAATGCTAAGCATTGTTTCTTTTATCTCATATCCTACTCCTCCCTCTCTCACACTCTGTTCCAGCCAAATAGGCTTCTTAGAAAACACCAAATTCACATTCTTGCCTCAAGGTCGTCTTCTTTGGTGTTTCCTCTGCTTAGAATAAGGGTTTTCCACAGATAGCCTCATAACCTGTTTTCTCATCTTCAGATCTTTTGAATGTCGTTATCTGGGTGGGCCTTCCCTGGATACCTTGTTTAAAAATGCAGCCCCTTTTATACATACACACATATTTACATACACATTCTCTCTGCCTATCCCCATTTCCTGCTTTATTTTACTCTGTAGTACTTACTGTCACCCAACTATCAAATATATTTCACTTTTTTACAGGCTTCACCTGTGAGCCTAGAAACCTTTGTTTGTTCAACTGCTGCGTCTCCAGTGCCTGGAATAGTACATGGCACACAGTGTATGCTTAATAGAAATTGAATGAATTGAATGCTTAGACTTTATATAGAAAATGAAATGAAGATATATATTTGGTTTTATATAATTTATATTTTTAGAAATCTATTATTTTAGACTTCGGAAAAAGAATTCTGATCTGGGAATTCCTTTTTATAATTGCCTGAAATCTTTCCTTGAGACACACAGCCTGAGTGCAAGCATAGTGGTGGTGCCCCAACTCCTGATCTTTGACTTTGCCCTCATTTATCACCTCAATGTAGTAACATGGGGTGATTTGACATAGAAGGAATTCTTTACGAAAATGTAAAAGGTAGTTGATGTGTTGGTTTTAAGTCTGGCACATCACCAGGGATAGAGCTGTGGGATAGAGGGAAGACCTGAAGTAGTGTATGTGTGTTGAGCAAATCATGTGTGATGCAGGACCATCTACTCCTTGCTTTTTTACGGCAAACCCAGTAGGGAATAAAGCAGATTTTATTCCTCCTTTTTTAATTGACACCAGATAGTGCTGTGACAATTTTTATCAGCAGGTCTTACATTTATAAAATTGGTATGTAATTCTCAGCATTTAGCTAAAATAGTCATGTTAACAATATTGAATTAACAGGTATTTTAAGAAATAAGTTTTGAACAGAAAGAACTATAAGAAACAATTATTAGAAATTGCCAAAATCTATTGTAAACTAAAATAGTGTAATTTGCTTTTGTTTATGAAGGTTAAATATGAGTGCCTGGCAGAGGAAATTAAAATAGGAGACTATTACCTGAGATTACTATTGGAGGAAGATGAGAATGAAGAAAGTGGATCAATTAAGAGATCGTGAGCTACTCTGTATATCCTGTCGCATTTGTTTTCACTGTTGGTTTCATGGCTATTTCTATTGTGAACTTTTTTTTTTAAAATCTAGGTATGAATTTTTCAATGAGCTTTATCATCGCTTCTTGCTCACCCCAAAAGTAAACATGAAGTGTTTATGTTTACAAGCCCTTGCTATTGTTTATGGCAGATGTCACGAAGAAATAGGACCTTTTACAGATACCAGATATATCATTGGAATGTTAGAGAGGGTAAGGATATCATTTAAGGAAATTACTATTTGATAGTGTCACTAGGGTATGTGTTAAATTTTAAAAACTAAATTTAAATTCTGTTTGATCACATTATTACTGTAACTTTCTGCATTCATTTTTCTGTAATTTATACTTATTTAAATCTGAGTTAGATGAATAGGAAAATGAATAATGGGTTAGAATTTGTCCATGTCACTTTATGTGTTTCAGTTACTGTTTTCAAATGACTTTAGTTGACCTACTTGTCAGTCTTTAAGTATGGATGAGTTGGACAGGTGTATAAAAGAAATGGTGACTTGTAGAGTTGTATGTACCTTTGATTTTCCATTTTGGAAAAATCTTAATTGATGCTACCATACTAAATTTAGAAGTGTGAAGATAGTAAAAACCTTTTAAAACTACAATGCTACCCTTCCAAAAAAGAAACCTTGAGTTAGCACTCTACAAAAAATTTTATACAGTTTGTCAAATAAAAAAATTAGTGGACGTGGTGGCATGTACCTGGTGGTTCACCTGGAAGTGGGAGGATCACTTGAACCCAGGAGGTTGAGGCTGCAGTGAGCTGTGATCACACTCCAGCCTGGATGACAGAGCAAGACCTTGTCTCAAAAAAAATTTTTTTATTTTAAGAATTTGTCATTTAACATTTGAACATGGTGGAGGGGACAAATTAATCAATTCATCATGCAGCTCATTTGATTGCTGCCTGTTTGTTGCAGTGTATATGTTTTATACTTTCTTTTGTGTTTACATCCTTTTACTTCAAGTATCATTTGGACCAATTATTTCACTTACATTATTTCACTTACTTCAATTTTTACTTATCTCCTTAAAGCTATATATTAATCTGATGACTTTAAAATGTCTGCCTTTCTAGGGAGATTAGACAAGTTATATAAAGAATGTAATTTTCAGGATTCATTAAGGAATTGCAATAATTGACAGATTTCTATGATTTTTCTCCTTAATGTTTATAAAATGGCATTACTTCTTATGGGCTGTTGGTTTATTTTGTCTAGTAATAGTAATACCTTAATTTTTATTTCTATTCACTTCTGACCAGATTCTCATTTATTTCAATAGTGCACAGATAAACTTGAACGAGATAGGTTGATTCTCTTCCTTAACAAGTTGATCCTTAATAAGGTACAGTAGTTTCGCATACATACATTGTTATTTCCAAGTCATATAAGTATGTAAGATAAACTCACAGTTTGAGTTGATTATCCAGGGAGTGTTCTTTTCTGTCTTCTCCTTTTTAGACAGAAAGTTCTGTGTGCTCTAATCTCCTGGAGGGAGAGGTTTTTGTCAGTATTCCCTGTATAGTCTGTCTTAATATTGTGGGTGCAGAATGAATTAATGATAATAAAATTCTGAATGACGAATAATGGATGACTTTTAATACATTAAAATGATTTTTAATAATAAAAATTAGCTTATTTTTCTTTAGGGACTCTTTAGGGTTAAATTTTAAGTAAAATATATGCTTGACATAAAATGGAAAGTCTTTATCAGTGTACATTTTGTTGATAAAAAGTAATTGGAAGTTATAAGATTAGTCATTTTACTCTGTATTTTCTTTTTAAAGACATTTTAATAGGTTCATGCTCATTTCAAACAAGAGGAATTCACAGTTGTAATATATAACATTAATTCACAATTTATGTTGAAGTGTAAGCGGATTTTCATTTCTTAAAACTTTGATACTAATACCAATTTGCATAGTTTTATTCTTAAGTAATGCAAATGTTTTAAACTGAAGTGTAATTATAAGTACAAAGAAATTTTAATTGAAATTATAGTCTCTTAACTTCTAAGAAATTACCAGTTAAGTTTATGAAAACAAACTGGAACATTAAAAGATTTTTTAATATAGCAGACTTTATTTCTGATATAGAATAATCTGTTTATTAAAAAGACCTTGACAGAATAATTGTAAAACCAGAGGTTGTTTTTTCCTCAGAATATATTTAAGTAAAAATTCTTAAGTGATCTCTTTGTAATATAGTTTTGCCCTTTTAATCAATTGGAATTCAGGTTCCTTGAACACAAAATGCTGAAAAGACCAAGTAATACCAGTCGTATCACTTATTTCCAAGGACTCCAAACATTCTTTTCTTCGAGGACCTTGTAGGTGGTAGTACCTATTGGGAAAGGTACTATTGGGATAGGTTTTAGGTTATGAAAAATGTTTAGATTACGAAAAAAATGTTTTCCTCTTCCAGAAAAATGTTAAGGATCTCATGGATTCAAATGGAATAAGAATCCTTGTGGACTTGCTTACCCTTGCACATCTCCATGTAAGCCGAGCTACAGTACCACTGCAAGTACGTATCCTTGTTTACGTTTTACAAATTTAACGTTCTTTGAGTATAATTTTAGAGGCAAAAGAATCATAGAAATCTGAAAAGATGTGGTCACACACTTATTTTTCCAGTAATTACAGTAGTACTAGTTCTGAGATTTCACACAGAAGATGTGAAACCACTGTAAGAACGATCCAAAATGGACAGTAACGATTGAGTTTTATTTTGTCAATTAAAGTAACTGTATCTCTAATATGGCTTATCTTGAGGCAATGTGACTTTTAGGATATAAATTGAATTCATTAGATATGTAAATAGTACTTTTAACATTGGCAAGCAGTAAGAATATGCTTTGCCTTAAAGGAGTCTGGACACCTTCTTGATACCAGCCAAGAGGACTGATACTTAACTTATAGAAGAATCTATCCTTAGCTCATTTGATGTTTTTGGTGTTTTAATTTCCTGATGTAAGGAGATGTGTCATGTTAGATTTCGTGTGAATTGTGACCGAAAGTGCTATTTGAGTATTTAGTATATGATGTATTCTGTTATATACCATTACAACAGGTACTGTTCTGGTACACATACAATACATTAACTTTTTGAATCCCCCAACAGCCCTTGGAGGTGGTTACTATCCACATTTTATAGATGAGGAAACTAAGGAACACAGAGGCTATCTTGCCCAAGGTCACCTGATAAGTGGCAGAGCTAGAGTTAAGACCCAGAAGTCTATATGCTCATAACAACTTTGCTGTACCTCTCTATATGAGTCTAACTGAAAGCTGATAATTATGGCAGTATTTAAAAACATGTTATTTCATTCTCAAGGAAGGTGATTGTAAGAAAAAGAACAGGCCAGGCACAGTGGCTCACACTGGTAATCCCAGCACTTTGGGGGGCTGAGGCGGGAGGATCACTTGAACTCAGGAGTTCAAGACCAGCCTAAGCAAATTGGCAAAACCTGTCTTGACAAAAACAAAAAGCCAGATGTGGTGGCACACACCTGTAGTCCCAGCTACTTGAGGGGCTAAGGCAGGAGGATTGCATGAGCCTGGGAAGTCAAGGCTGCAGTGAGGCATTTTTGTGCCATTGCACTCCAGGCTAGGTAACAAAGTAAGACCCTGTCTCAAAAAAGAAAGACAAAGAACATAACCATGTTGTGATAAAATAACCCGACTACATAAAAATTTTAACCTAGATTCTTGTAAAACATTGATAGAGAACATTGTAAGAATTATTTGTAGTAAGGGTAATAGGTATTAAATTGAGACTATATAAAACCACTGAAAACTAACTTTGCTGTTAGCATTTTAATGCTTTGATCTCAGATACTTATTGGAACTCTTAGTTGGAGTGAGTTTTTCCCCCAAAATAACTTTAATATTTTGAGCATTGTTGCTTAAGATTAATGATACGTATCTATTTACATAACTATTTGCAATATTCTTTGCTACTAAAATCTTAGTGTCCTCGGTATTTATTAATGACCATGGGGAATGTAGATGTCACTGAATTTAGCTTAGATTGCTGAGTGTGAACTTAAGAAACCATTTACTTCAAATGTATATTAATAAGGAAATAGTTTTTTTGGACTGTTAGGTTAGGCATTTTGTCCTAAACTCTTAAATCTTAAAATAAGGTCACTTAAACTTTCAGGTTAACTTTTAAAGGGATATAAACCCCTCCAAAGTACTGCTGTGCAACTTTGTTTTACGACATCTGGTCTTTTAGATTTCTGCCTTGGAAAATAATTTAAATCTTTTTTAAACTTAGAGCAATGTAATTGAAGCTGCTCCAGATATGAAAAGAGAGAGTGAAAAGGAATGGTATTTTGGCAACGCAGACAAAGAAAGGAGTGGCCCGTATGGATTTCATGAGGTATGTATCTTGGAGATACTTTTGGTGAAGGTCTCAGCATTTCTTATGCCCTCCTGCTTAGCACTTACAGAGGCGTGGAATGTTTTAAAGCTGTCATTTAAATTCCTGTTATTAGCTCCAAGGGCCCTGCAACTCAGTTTCCACATGAAAAATGGAGAACCAAACATACATATAAAATTATGCCTTCAAACCTTGTTTAAAAGCTGTTGTTATGGAGATAGCACTCAGGTTTTTAGTGATTTTTATGTAATAATTTCTGGCTGGGTGTAGTGGCTTACACCTGTAATTCCGGCACTGTGGGAGGATCGCTTGAAGCCAGGAGTTCAAGACCAGCCTGGGCAACATAGCAAGAGACTATCTTTGTTAAAATAAAAAATAATTAGCTAAGCATGGTGGTGCATGCCTATAGTGTCAGCTACTTGAGAGGCTGAGGTGGGAGGATCGCTTGAGTCCAGGAGGTTGAGACTGCAGTAAGCCATGATCACACCACTGCAATCCAGCCTGGGCAATGAATAGCGAGACCCTATCTCCAAAAAAGAAAAAAAAAAAGCTATCTTAGTACTTACGTCAAACTATAATGTTTCTATATGGTATGAATAAGTAAGTTTTAATATGCAGTCTAAAATTCATTGAAAATTATTCAGTCCAAGAGCTAAGGACAGTTTTCCTCTTTATCTTGATACTTGATCCTGCCTCTGATCTTCAGCCTCCCAGGCTCATTTCGAATTGGGCAAAGATAGTTTTATGGAGGACCAACCATTCTGCTCTAGTATAATTTGATTATTTAGCACCCCACCTGTCATTTTTACTCTTTCCAGTATTCTTTATGCTCTGCAGGCTGGCCAGGTGGTGGGTTTTTTGGTTTTTTTTTGTATTAACCAAATTTGGGTTCCTAAAGGCCTGTCAACAAAACTTATTTTTTCTGAAATAGTGTACTTACATGTTTGTTTCATAATTTAGTATGTATTTACTATAAAGTAGAAAACACTAGTGAGGTTTTTCATTTTATTTTGTCTGTTTGTAATAATGCCTTCCATCCATTAGATGCAAGAATTGTGGACCAAAGGAATGTTAAATGCAAAAACCAGATGCTGGGCTCAAGGCATGGATGGATGGCGACCACTTCAGTCCATACCCCAGCTTAAGTGGTGTCTCTTAGCCAGTGGACAGGCTGTCCTGAATGAAACTGACCTTGCTACCCTTATATTGAACATGTTGATCACAATGTGTGGATATTTTCCAAGCAGGTAAAATGTAATTGAATGTTTCCATGGTTAATTGATATGCTTCCTTAGTAACAGCATAGAATCGGTCTGGTGTTTTAAAACAAAGATGTCCTATTTATGGCCTTGGAGGAATGCTGTTTTGACCTTTGGAATTTTTTGAAACAGATATAAAGAATTTGCAAATTATATTAATAAAGTTGCTAAAAAAGCAACTTTTTCTGGGAGATTTCAAATAATGTTACAAAACTGAGACTTACAATAGTAACAATTTTATAATTTATGTGAATTGGTGTTAATGTTTTGAATTACATACTGCAGTCCATAGACAGTGGTGAATGCCAGCTGTTGATCTGACACGCTAGCTATTTCTGCTATAGAAGGCAAGTGTAGGCCCACGTCTTGCCCCACTTGACCAGTGAAGGTGAGAATTTGTTCTCCAAGTCATAAGGATAACACTTGCATGTAACTTTTTAATCTTTATGAAATAATTACATATAAATCATTTTGATTCATTACTGTACTAAAGATATCTTGTGATGGAAATTACTGAGAAACTGTAACATTTTAAAACACTTGAAGTTTTCATGGTTCCAGTTGGACTCAAAATTATACAGTTAGTATTTAGAAATAAGGTAGCATTAAAATTAAAGCTATACTTGGAAAATACCAAACATAGTTAAATCAAGGTTTAAATTTATGTAACAAAGTTTGATAAGCCCTTTGGGGGAAAATACCCACTGACAGTGTGTTGAACAACACCAAGTTTAATCAATTAAATAATAAATAAGAGTCTTTGGCTCTTCTAGGGTACTGTTTTTCAAGGAAATCTTATGGAAGGAAATGAAGTCATATTAAGCAGCCAAATAGATTTAAACCAAAATACCTAATCATGTTCCCAGCTGTATGAGAGCTTAGTCTTCATTAACAAAAAAGTAAGGTAACCTGCTTCATGCCTAGTAGAATGTCGTATGCTCTGAACATACAAATTTTAACAAATATATTAAATGTTGACGTGAGAAAATGTTTTCTAGGGATCAAGACAATGCCATCATTCGGCCTCTACCCAAAGTGAAAAGACTGCTGTCAGATAGCACTTGCCTTCCCCATATTATTCAGGTGAGTTATGTAATCAAACTAGGAGCAATTTTAAGAATCATTTTCTCTGAATTTTATTATCAGTACCAGTCTTTGTTTTGTTGCAGTCTATTCCATTTTCAAAAAGCCTAAATAGGCCAGGTGTGGAGTCTCACACCTCCAATCCCAGCACTTTGGGAGGCTGAGGCGGGAGGGTTGCTTGAGTCAAGGAGTTCGAGACCACTTTGGTCAACATAGGAAGACCCCATCTCTACAAAAAATAAATAAATAAATAAAGTAAATGGCCGCCAGGCATGATGGCACATGTCTGTAGTCCCTGCCCCTTGGGAGGCTGAGGTGGGAGGATTGTTTGATCCCAGGAGTTTGAGGCTGCAGTGAGCTGTGATCATGCCACCGCACTCCAGCCTGGGCAACAGAGCAAGACCTTGTCTCAAAAAGAAAAGGAAAAGGCCTGTACTTTGAATTACATTCATTTCACTTAATTTTTTATTTTTTTTTATTTTTTTGAGACAGTCTTG
Organism: Homo sapiens; assembly: GCF_000001405.40. NCBI lineage: Eukaryota > Metazoa > Chordata > Mammalia > Primates > Hominidae > Homo > Homo sapiens. The sequence goes on from NC_000003.12 coordinate 132,485,170, forward strand.
CTCTGTTGCCCAGGCTGAAGTGCAGTGGCAGGATCTTGACCCAATCCAACCTTCGCCTCCCATGTTCAGATGATTCTCTTGGCTCAGCCTCCCGAGTAGCTGGGATTACAGGCATGTGCCACCACACCCAGCTACTTTGTTTGTATTTTTAGTAGAGCAGGGGTTTTGCCATGTTGACCAGGCTGTTCTCAAACTCCTGGCCTCAAATGATCCATCCACCTTGGCCTCCTAAAGTGCTGGGATTACAGGCATGAGCCACTGCACCCAGCTATTTCACTTACTCTTGAGTTGCTGAATATGCTGTGGAAGATTGAGCCTAAACATGAGAAGTTTCTAGATTCCAGAATTGTGCTAAGAGAGTTTTATTTATTACCTATTTTTAAAATCACACCACTTTAATATCTGAAAAGTGATTTATTCCAGTTTGTGGTGTATGTTGATGTTGTTAAGACTACTGGGAGGTACACCAGCAGGCCACAGGGGTGGACTTGGTGGTTCATATCTTAAGAAGTAATCACAGCAGTCTTACTAACTTCTGCCGTAGATTTTGACTATTCTTAGTTATGTTTTCATTGATACCAATGATTCAAAGCATTGAGTTGGTATTAATCTAGGATACACCAAAATATCTTTTTCTTTTGCATTATTCTGCTTTTTTGGAATTAAGCTATTTAAACTTCAGATTAACATTAAACCCAAATAAGTCAGGTCCTAGACATTTCAGGCAAATGTTTCTATTAAGTTGTATGCCAGTGACTTGTGCCATTTGTACCTTTCAGTTGTACATTGGTCTGCAGTGGGAAAGAAGAGTTAACTCAGTTTATATATTTTTACATTCACTTATTTACTACCTAAATGCTTATGTAAGTCATTGATGCTGAAAAAGACTTCTAAATACAGTAATGCCCTATCCTTTTTTTTTTTTTTTTTTTTTTTTTTTGCCAATTTCTGTTATTTAAGCATACTCACATTTTAACATTTCTTTGCTTTTCTTTTGTGGACATTTCCATTCGTATCCTTCAGTGAAAAAGCACTGCAATTATTGAGGGCTCTAAACTATTACCACATCCCCTTTCCTGTGGGGCCATGTGGCTGCATATGTGAGGTGATGCAAAGAGAGGAATTTTTTCTCCCTGATAGACCCTCTCAACATGTGGATAAAACACCACACCCAAAAGATCAACCGCTCCCATTTTTCTAAGTCTTACGAAACTGAAAGGAAAAAGTAAATACAAATGGCATTAAATTTCAGTCTAGGAAGGGATGATTAAAAAACTTTTAAGAAATGTGCTCAGCATAACATGAAGCTTGGGGGAGGGAGGCTTTCTTTTAATTAACCAAAAATTTTCAGTAATATCTGAACAAAGTGATTAAAGATACTTATATTGATAAATCTAGCTTCGAACAGTGTGTGACTCCTATTTTTTTATATTGAGTTCAAAAATTATTTTTAAGAAGTTATTTTTGTTTTTCTTTTAATTTTTTCTATTCTGGGAGACCTGAATCATGCCAAAGCACAGTTAGGTGGCTATAGTAGTTTCTGGGAATGTTATCTTCATCGGTTGGAAAGGGATATCTGTACTTCATTTGACTTTAAGAGCAGTCATCATTTTTACCATCTGATAGAGCTTCAGAATTTTTAGAGTAATCCAAAATACAGTGAGTAAACGTTCTAGGTTTTCTAGTATAGTGATAGTTTGAAATACTCTAGGTGTGTGTCTGTGTGTGTGCTGAATAAATGTTATAGGTTTTCTAGTATAGTGACAAATTGAAATACGGTGGGTAGTTGGGTGTGTGTGCGTGCTTGTGTGGGTGTTTGCCACTAATTTCCGTAATGTCAAGTCTTGAACTACTGCCATTAACACTAGGGAAAATTCTATATGACTGTATGTTTCCTTTTTAAAATATGTAATAGTATGAAACGCTTAATCTAAATTCCTTGTGGAATAGATAAGACACCAAAGCATAGAGAAATTTAAGTTATTTACTTAAAAGACCCATAGCTGTTTAGTCTCACATATGAGTATAGAACTTTGGCCTCCTAATCTGAGCTACTTACTCTCTTTATTGTAAATTAATTAATTAATTTTATTTATTTATTTTTTGAGATGGAGTTTTACTCTGTCGCCCAGGTTGGAGTGCAGTGGCTCAATCTCTGCTCACTGCAACCTCCGCCTCCCGGGTTTAAGCAATTCTCCTGCCTCAGCCTCCCGAGTAGCTGGGATTACAGGCACCTGCCACCATGCCCGGCTAATTTTTTGTACTTTTAGTAGAGACGGGGTTTCACCATGTTGGCCAGGCTGGTCTTGAACTCCTGACCTTGTGATCCGCCCACCTCAGGCCCCCAAAGTGCTGGGATTACAGGCGTGAGCCACCATGCCTGGCTGTAATTTTTTTTTTTTTTTTTTTTACTGGGAGCATTTGACCCCGAATTGAGGATTCATTGGAAGCAAGTGTTTTATAGAAAATTGGAACGACACCTTTATTAAGCTTCGTAGATAAAACTTATTAAATGTTTATCAAAAGTTTATTCATAGCAATTCTGTATGGTTTTTAATTAGCCCAGATTTATTAGAGTAATTCCAGAAATTCCCTTCAGTATTTCTAGCTCAAATTTCTAGAGGCCACATCTTTTGGTACTTCCTGGTAGCAGATGTACTACCTGATACTTGTTTACCCTCTTGCCTGTTACCTGCACTTCTGGATCTACCTTTTAGGCTGTTTTATTGATCATTATTTTCTGCTCTGCTCCTTGAGTTCTCAAGAAGCCTTCAGGGGATTCTTGTGTCAGCTCAGCTGAGTTGAAACAAACCGAGAAGTCTTTTTAGGAAGATTCTTGCACAAGAAGCAATGTTACCTGTAACATTATGACAAAACTAGCTTCAGGCATGTTTGGGCTTTTCTGAATACATTTTGATCAATTCTCAATTGATGTTCTGCATTAAATGTTGTAGAATGAATCATTTTTCAAATCTGTTGTGGGTCTGGTAGATGAGCTTACTGACTCCCATGGGTTTTTATTTTATAATTTACATAAGGAGCTATAACCTCAGCATATGAAATAAAAAACCTAAAGTGATGATGCAGGTTTTTTACAACCCAATAAAAACATTTTAATTTTTTTTCAGCTACTGCTGACCTTTGACCCTATCCTTGTTGAGAAGGTTGCTATTTTGTTATACCATATCATGCAAGATAACCCACAGTTACCCCGCCTTTATCTGAGTGGAGTATTTTTCTTTATCATGATGTACACAGGTTCCAATGTGCTTCCTGTTGCTCGGTAAGAACTTTAAGGGTAATCTATTTAAAAGTATTATTTGAATTTTATATGGACTGATTTAATTGAATTATTTGTGAGTACCTTATTGCTTTTATTAAAATTATAATTGTAAAGGCTATTTAAGTACATGTCTAAAGAGTTGGAAAGCAGAAGAATGGGGGAAAATTACTCAGAATTGTACCACTATTCCACATCTAGCATAAGAATGTATTATCTAGTATTTAAGTATGTATTTAATATAACTATATTCATATTGTACATGCAGTTTCACATTTTGCTTTCTTAAAGTTTAATAATTTTTTTATATTGTCACATAGCTTTAATATGACTACACTTTAAAAATCTTTCTAGTTCATTTAAGTTCTTGCCTTATTCAGAAATTAAATAATTTGGGAATATGGATTTATGTGAGTTGCCATTTGTGAGTTTTATTTAGCTATAAAAGATCTAGTCTTTAGAAAACTAAGGTTACAAAAACTAAATCGGTTTCTATATCTGATAGATAATTCATTTTTCTTTCTAGATTTTTGAAATACACACATACCAAACAGGCTTTCAAGTCAGAAGAGGTAAGCCAGGTTAATCCTCTGAATACTTAACCCTGGGTAAGCTGTTTTGGCACTATAAAGTTTCCTGAGCTGTGTATTATGTTTACTAGATTATAAGTACTTGAGGGTAGGTATTGTTTTATTCTGTTCTTACATTGTTTGTGGTACCTTGCACATATAAAGTCTAAGCTAATATTTTTAAAGGAAAATAAATGTTGCTGACTCATTAGACTTAATATTGAAATTGCAGCTATGAACTATAGCCTGACACCTCCATGAATATAAGTTGTTCTCTTTGTATAAAGTTTAGATTAGTGATTTTTGTAAATAATTCATTATGTACCTGAGTCTTACATCGTCAGCTAAGATTCAGGAAGACTTCAGCCTTTTTGTTCAGATCCCAAAGTGGCAGAAGTGCTAGGTTTCTTTTTTGAAGCTGCTCCATGTTTCATATGCTTTCATTTTACTGTGGGGTTAAGCTGGGAATTAAAAAAAAAAAAACTTATTTAGGTAGTTTTGACAATCTAAACTTAATGCCTACATTTTACAAAGAGATATTTATTGTTAAAATGAAACTGAAGGGTGTTTTGAAATATGTTCAGCTTTTCATGGAGCATGGATTTTTTTTTGGATCATATCAAGCAGAATAAGAAACCAAAACCAGACCACTGTTGAGAAGACTAACCAAGGAATGTTGCACCACCTTGACAATAGACACTAAATTATATGTTTTATAGAGCAGCCAATGAAGCCCTAGAAAGTAACCCATTTGTCTAATATTAAAGATGCCCATGGCAGCATAATTTCCACAGCTTTTTACAAATAGAAAATGAGAATATAAACAAGTTAAAAAAGTCTCTAATGATAGTACCTTCATGTAGTATTAGACATTTGGGCATTCTTTTTCTTCCTTTATTTCTGTGCCATTATGCATATTGTAATTTTTTCCAAATTTATTAGAAATGATTTGTATCATTTCAGCTAACAGTATTTTGAATAATTATAGCAAAACAGTGTTTATAGCACAAGTCTGGATGTATGAATTACCAAATAATAGTATTGAAGAATACAACTAGCAATTCTTTACCCAAAAGTTTAACAGATAGTGAATTTGTTACTCTTATTAGCAGAAAGCCTGAAAATATTCATCTTCTAATTTGTCTTTGCACCACATGATAAAACAATGTTTGGGTTTTTTCCCTCGTCTCTTTGTTTTATCCTAGAGAAGTAAAATGTCTTTAAATTTGCCTAGAAGGAAATAAGAAAAGCATTTATTTGTATAAATCCTAGCTAGCCCTTGGGATTTTATTTCCATTGAGTAAAGAAATGAGTTTAAAATTTAGTATGATCATTATCCTAACTCCATTTGGCCTGCCAGAGGATATGGACTTCGCAAAGCAGTTAATTATAATTACTTTAAGTAGAAATTCTCCATCTAAATCCTAGCTACATTTCATGAGGACAGGCTCTTAATGATCTTCTGAACTTATTTTTGAAAACAGAAGCAAGTACAGGTGGGACCTACAGCCAACAATATAATGCAGGATAATTGATGTAAATCTTCTTGGGATATTCCTTCTGTTATCCATTACTGTTACACATGGTCAAAGGCCAGTCGTCCTAAATAATATTGGCAGCTTGTGACACTTAAAGCTAAGACTGCTGCAGGGCCAGAGGCTGTTGGTTCTGCCTTAGAGCTCATGCCAAGCCAGTTTGTACCAGATACCTTCCAGTTCACATTTTGCTGTGTTTCCATCTACATTCCCAAAGCATAAAAGCAATTTGTTCCAATTGTGTTCTTTTCTTAAAGTGTTCTCTAACCATAAATCATTTATTAGAAAATTGAAAGTTAACTTTAGTGTTTTTGACTACCTTTTGTTTTGTTTTGTTTTGAAGACAAAAGGACAAGATATTTTTCAGAGAAGTATACTTGGGCACATTCTACCTGAAGCAATGGTTTGTTACTTAGAAAATTATGAACCTGAAAAGTTTTCTGAGATTTTTCTAGGAGAATTTGATACTCCAGAAGCAATCTGGAGCAGTGAAATGAGGTAAATAACCAGTTGACTGATTGATTTGTATTTTATAATTAAGTCTTTGCTGCTCGCCATCTGCTTTGACTTCTGTTAAAAGAAATGTTTTCACTAGGTTTATAATCTAAAATGACAGTAATCATTGATGCCAAATCAAATGATGGATTTTGATAAGGCCTTAAGGTTTTCTCTATTCTAATAAGATTTGACAAAATTGCTATTACCTTAATAGAGCTTTATATAATGGTAGGGCCTACCAACTGCTGGTACTTCTTAAATCAGTTTATAGAACTCGTAAGGTTTTAGGTAATGAACTGATAATATATATATAGGGAATTGGGGTAAAATCAAGACATACCTCTGGGTATCTGGAAGTAGGACTATACTCCCACTAATTAAAAGCTATGCCCACATAATTTGGATCGATGAATCAGAACAGAGATACCCGAAATTATTCTAGAATGTGGGCTCCCTTACCAACACCTTTTGTCCTTAATCTGGAGGTTAGCATTCCTAAGGTATGTCTTTGTTGGGGGGGAATGCCATAGGAGAAACCTGTGGAAACACAGAAAAAGGAAAGGCTCAGAAGCAGATAACAGTGCCCAGCCAGTTTCTGTTCAGAAAAGACTTGATACTTCATATTTCCAGTGTCAAGGCTATCTCTTTTTGGAGAACCCCTCAATTCCCTTAGCTAGATAGCATTAGATCTTCTATGTCAATTACTGACCCTCGTCAGACTGCACACACTCCATGCCACCTGCTTGTTATCATTTGACTTCTTGACCTATGGGCTTGGCATGTGTTAGCCAGCAATTTGAATATATTCTGTATGGCAGTCATATTTTTCATTGGGAAAAAATATATAAGAATATTAATAAATTAGCAACACAGTTCTTCTGTGTAATATTTTTCTCCTGAGATTGGCAAATATAAGGCCCCATCTAAAAGACGAATTGCTCTATGTGCTGATAAGTTTCTGCTTAGCTGAGGCCAGATCCTAGACTACAGTAAGTTAATTGAAATAAATACCATCTAGCGAGCTTCTTTGGATAATAGCCAGTTTCAGTTTCCTAGCTACACCCTCATGCATTCAGATGCTATACCATTTGCCCTTCTAATGGCTGATTTTTTAATAGGAAGGACTGGGATTATCAGCCCTTTTCTCTATGATCTTCTTTACAGATGAGTATCATAGATAAGTTTTTTCCATGTTTGTACAATAAAATGCCCAAAGTACCATATTTAAAAGCTCTCATTTTAGGATAATCATTGAGTTATTCTATAGATGATTCATGTAACTATCTTACATGATTATGTATCTCAACCTTCTCTTTAAAATAATACCTCATAAAGCTTGAATGGAGGTTTTTATGATTGTAGGCGCCTGATGATAGAGAAGATTGCTGCCCATCTCGCGGATTTCACACCTCGTCTTCAGAGTAACACAAGAGCACTTTATCAGTATTGCCCCATTCCTATAATCAACTATCCACAACTCGAAAATGAACTATTTTGTAATATTTATTACCTCAAACAACTGTGTGATACACTCCGGTTTCCAGATTGGCCAATTAAAGACCCGGTAAGTCAGCAGTTTAATTTGTGCCACCTTAAGCCATAAAAATAGCCTCTAAACACTTCTGGGTATTTTGTCCTCCTGCAGTAAGATGGTTAATAGCTTTCTTAAGTATTCCTTCTTAAGCACTAAGCACTGTGTGACTCTGAGTATAGTTTATTATATTTGGGTAGATCTCACACTGAAAGATAATTTTTTAAGGGAGTATTAAGAGTATTGCAATCTTGATCTTTTGTGGCAAAGACAAAACAAATTTCATGCAGATAACATAATTATATATATATAGTATTATATACTATAATACCTTGGTGGAAGCTTGTCTTTATAGCAGGTTGATTAAGCTCACAGATGTTGGAGTTAGCCAGTCTGGGATTGAGTTTCAGCTGGGCCATTAATATTTAATAACTCTTTAATATTCAGTACATTGCTTGATTTGTCTAAACTTCAGTTCTCATCTCTAAAATATTGGTAATAATAGCAGCTATCTGGTGGTGTTTATGAAGATTATTAAGAATTCACATAAGCATAATTCCTGGCACGCGTAAGAGGCAATGAGTGCGACCTGCTCATTGTAAAACAGTATATACACTGTTGGCCTGTCCAGAGTGCCCTTGGGACCCCCCTAACCTGAGTCTTTGTGTATCTGTGGGCACCTGTGCCCATGTTGTTCTGTTACTGTGGTGGAACTTATACCATTATTACCATCTAAAAGATTTCAGAATAATTGCCATTTATACTGCAAGTCACTGCCTCTTTACAATGCAGTGACCAAAAAAAGGCAGGTAGACTCTGGTACTTATTCAGGATTCAACATGAGATACTAGATACAGGCTTTTTAGTCAG